>NC_000001.11:204093677-204245193 GCF_000001405.40 Homo sapiens | reverse complement strand
AACAGCCAGCCTGTGGCCCCAGAACCTGTAATGAGCCCCTTTGGCAGGCCCAGGTAGCCCTGAGACACTAAATCTGCCCTTCCACATCCCTGGATCTGGCTTCTCCCTGCCACCTCCACTCACAGTGCCCATCTACCCACCAGGCCGCACCCCTCCTCCATTGCTCACCCATCCCCTTGTTTCCCCCAAGGAGGACTTGGCCCCTCAGCCACCTACAGCTCCAACAGCCCGGCCAGCCCCCTCAGCTCTGCCAGCCTCACCAGCCCCCTGAGCCCCTTTTCACTGGTGTCGGGCTCTCAGGGGTCCCCCACCAAGCCTGGCTCCAACGAGGTAAGTTGAGAAATGGAGTAGAAGGTAGGTGGGGGAGGGAGGACCAGATCCTCGTTTGTCTGAAACTATACAACTTCTGTGCCCATCTCTTCCCCACAGGCCTCCAGCCCTAGTGCTGGAGCTCTTTGTTTAAGGAGGTCATTCTCACACCCCATTTTGTGAACTTCTCTCCAGGTTTCCCCTTTACCTGTTCTCATCTCCATCTGTCATCTTTAGCTCCCTTGCAGTGAAGCCTGTTCCTGGGCACCAGGATGGATAGCAGACAGCATGCATTTCACAAGAATTTAAATCTAGGATGATACCAGGATAGCAACAGGGTTAAGGGTCAGTGTGGGGAGCAGTTTCCTAGTCAGTCAATCAGCAAGTGTTTTCTGGGGCTCGACTGTGGGCATGGGGTACCATGAGGCCCTCTTAGAAAGATACACACGTGGCAGGGTGCGTAATCGTGTAATCCCAGCATTTTGGGAGGCCAAGGCGGGTGGATCGCTAGGTCAGGATATAGAGACTGTCCCGGCCAACATGGTGAAACCCCATCTTTACTAAAAAAAAAAAAAAAATACAAAAATTAGCTGAGCGTGGTGGCGCGCGCCTGTAGTCCCAGCTACTCAGGAGGCTGAGGCAGGAGAATTGCTTGAACCCAGGAGGTGGAGGTTTCAGTGAACCAAGATCGCACCACTGTACTTCAGCCTGGTGACAGAGGGAGACTCCATCTCAAAAAATAATAATAAAAAATAAAAGAAAGAGGCTGGGCGTGGTGGCTCACGCCTGTAATCCCAGAACTTTGGGTGGCTGAGGTGGGTGGATCACGAGGTCAGGAGATCAAGACCATCCTGGCTAACACAGTGAAACCCTGTCTCTACTAAAAAATACAAAAAATTAGCCGGGCGTGGTGGCTGGTGCCTGTAGTCCCAGCTACTCCGGAGGCTGAGCCAGGAGAATGGCGTGAACCCATGAGGCGGAGCTTGCAGTGAGCCGAGATTGCGCCACTGCACTTCAGCCTGGGTGACAGAGCCAGACTCCATCTCAAAAAAATAATAATAATAAAAGAAAAAAGAAAAATAAAATAAAGATACGCACATGTGCTCAAAGGCTTCACTCAGGGAGCCCAGCATCCTATGGACCAAGACCAATTCATAGGAACATGACGGCATATGTCTCAACATTAAGCCACATGGTTCAGACTGTAAACGCCCTGATGTTCCAACAGACAGTGGGGCCTAAACCAGGCCACAGAGCAGCAAGACAGGGAGAGGAACAAGGGAAAGGCATTCTAGGCAGGAGAGTGGGTGGAAGCAAAAGGGTGGGAGAGGAGCTGCCTGGCATGGGGGCGAGGCAATGAGAGAGCTTTGGGGAAAACTTGGGGAGCAGTGGGGAGTGGTGGACAGGTAGAGGCTGGGTCAAGGAAGGCCTTGAAGGTCAGGCAGAGAGTTGGCTTCAGAGCTGGCACTCTCTTCAGGCCACGGGTGGGAGTGCAGTGGTCCCAGGGGCCCACCCAGGTCTCCAGCAATGTTGTTGTCTGCCTCCTGCTAACGCTCTTTTCTCCTGCTCTCACAGTGGCTGCTCTTGTTCCTCCTAATGCTCTGGCTTCTGTCTGCCTCAGGAACCTGGCCCGCCTCGGCCTCCCCTCCCCAAAGCCTACGTCCCCCTGGAGTCTCCTCCAGCCGTCCCTCCACTCCCTAGCGAGAGCCGCTTCTGGCCCTACCCCAGCTCCCCTTCCTGGCACCGCAGTGGCGAGACAGCCAGGGGGCAGGTACCCATCACCCTTGGGTCCTGGAGGGTGGGGCAGGGGACAATGGGCAAAGGGCCAGGCCAAGGGGCAAGGCAGGGCCCTGGAGTCATTTTCCCCATTAATTTTCCCAAAGGTCGGTTTCTACGGCACCCCTGCCCAGCTGGACTCTGGGATAAGGAAAGGATAGTTGAAGCCATCATACAGGCCATCTTTCTGTGCCTTTTTGCTTTCTGTAGGTGATGGGGACATGAGTTACTGCTCCAACCCCAGGCTCATGGGCAGCCAGTGTTTGTGGGTGCTGGTATTAAGCCCCACTCCCTACCAACATGACCAGCCAATGGGGACTGAGTGATACTCTCAGCAGTGCCATTCCGATCCCTTCGTGTGCCCATCCCAGGCCCCACTCCACCCATGCTGTCTCTCTGCCTCCACTTTGTGTTGTATCCTCGTTGGGTTTCATGAGTCCCTGTAGTATAAGGATACAGGCCCTTTTCTCTCCTGTTCTGGCTCATTCTCTCACCTGCATCCCTAGCCAAGATCCAGGAGATATGCAGTTAGGTTTGGAAGAGGTTGTGTGGTGAGTAGAAAGAGTCCTGTGCCTAAAATTGGAAAACTCATATGCTCATCTAGGTTTAGCTATGTATAATTTGCATAACCCTTGAGTGTTTGCCTGGTGAGATGGGCAGAGCAGGTAATGTTACCCGTATGTGACAGGTGAAGAAAGGGGACCTCTGTTCTCTAGTTGGGCTAGAACTGGAGCTGCTGACCTTTAGCCTGGTCTTCTTTTTGTATTCTTCTCACTGAGGCTTAGATTCTTCAACTGTACCATGGGAGCAGTGGCTCAGATGATGGCTGAGGTCTCTTCTAGTCTCATGTTTTTGTGAGCCCACACACTAAGTGCCCTTTTCATTTCCCTAGAATCCTGGTACCAAGGCCCGCCTGGTTCTGTTTGCTCATGTCTTGGGTAGGATTCCCTACAGGATCCTCAGAGACCCCCCACCGGCCATTCCTTGAATCTGGCTCACAGCAAGTCTGTGGTTCTTAGTGCCAGCCAAGACAAATGGTCAGGTTGAGGGGCCTCCTAGGGGCCATGAGCAATCATTCCTCAAGATGGCCCATCATTGACCAGTCTTAAAGTGCACGAATGGGAGGCTCCAGTGCATTCCTGTCCGCCTCCCAGGCGGCACACATAGAATTTCCTTGTTCCTTGTATCTGCAAGGGTTTGAGCTTCAACCATTAAAAAACAAAGAAACATCACTGGGGGCCAAGTTCCTGACAGCCATACTAACATCAACCATCTTCTCACCCTTTCTCCCCAGCCCAAGGCAAACTATGAACAAAGCAAGAAAGACCCCCACCAGACATTGCCCCTGGACACCCCCAGAGACATCAGCCTTGTGCCCACCAGGCAAGAGGTAGAGGCAGAGAAGCAGGCAGCTCTCAACAAAGGTACTTTCTGTCCCATCTTCCCCTAGAAGTAAGGCAAGGATGCTCAGGGAGGAGCCCTGGGTGCTCATTCACACCCAAAACCTGGTGCCACACCCTGGGCTTTTTAATCTCGGTGGAGAGTGGGGCTGAGATTGTCTCTGAGAAGGAGGCTTCCTGCCTTCCTGCTCTCCATGAGGCCCACTGGCTACTCTGTCTTTCTGCAGTTGGCGTTGTGCCCCCTCGGACAAAATCGCCCACTGATGATGAGGTGACCCCATCAGCAGTGGTAAGAAGGAATGCCAGTGGGCTCACCAATGGACTCTCCTCCCAGGTGGGTACCTCTGCAAGCTCATGCAGGCCTGAGCTGGGCTGCGAGCCCAGGGGCCTGTGTGTGTACCTACTCATCTCCCTCTGCTGTTCAAGAAATTCAGGGCTGGAGAGGAAGGTGGAACACGTGAGAGGAGGGGCAAGAGCCCCACTGGAGGAGGAGCTCTCCTGCAGGGAGATGTGTCAGGGGATGAGGAAGCTATGCTGCATTGGTCAGGGTTCTCTAGAGGGACAGAACTAATAAGATATATAATATATATGTGTAAAGGGGAGTTTAGTAAGTATTAACTTACATGCTGACAAGGTCCCACAATAGGCTGTCTACAAGCTGAGGAGCAAGAAGAGCCAGTCTGAGTTCCAAAACTGAAGAACTTGGAGTCCGATGTTTGAGGGCAGGAAGCATCCAGCACGGGAGAAAAATGTAGGCTGGGAGGCTAGGCCAGTCTCTCCTTTTCATGTTTTTCTGCCTGCTTTATATTCACTGGCAGCTGATTAGATTGTGCCCACCAGATTAAGGGTAGCTCTGCCTTCCCCAGCATGTTAATCTGTTTTGGCAACACCCTCACAGACACACCCAGGATCAATACTTTGTATCCTTCAATCCAGCCAAGTTGACACTCAATATTAATCATCACAAGTCCACCCCTTGTCAACTTGAACCCATACACATCTCCTGAGATCATACATAATCTTCAAATAAAGACAATAATAAGGTCATAATTACACCTAACATAATACGACTATCCTTTGTACAACAGGAAATGCACCAATCCCCAACCCAAATACTATTACATAAAGTTAACAATACTTCAATGCTTATGTGAGGTCAATAAATCCTATGTCATATGATAAAGGAAAAGGAAATGAAATAAAGATATTTCCTTAGCACAAGTGTATACATGCACAAACATATTTTTAGCAAAAGAAGGAGGAAATACTCATGACCATTACAGTCCCTGCTTCTGCAGCTGGTCACGTGGTCATAGCAGATATTGATGACTACTTTCTTTTGCTATCCATTCTGTATTCACTTTGCCTTCAGCAAGCACCTCAGCAGGTCATGGTGTTTTTCCTGGTGGAGTGACCAAACCTTCATTCCTGAGGGGTCTGGGCCATTTGTAGTCCTGCCTGGATTAAGCTGTTGTAGTTTCCCATTGACCTTAATCACAGGATCTCTTAATACTAAGAGATGCCCTAATGGATCTCCTGTATTCCATGCATATTCCTCCTTATTTCCATTGTGGAGTGGTAGACTGATTTCATCTTGATAGTCCAGGTCAATCACCCTAGCCAACACTATAACTCCCTTCTTAGCCTGTTGATTTAAAGGTACGAGGAATCTAAAGTGTCCAGGTGGCAATCTTAACTTCTAGTTTAATGGAATCGTTGTGTTTCCTGGTAGCAGCGTTCCTCCCTCTGGAACGAAGACCCGTAGGCCAGCAGAACATAATGTCATGGGAAAAGGAAGCAAAAATTTTGTTAGTGGATCACTAGGGGTGATGGTGAGTGGTGCCACTTCCACTTCCACCCCTTGATTCCTGGACCCGTAAATCCTGGCTATGGGAGAAAAAGTACCATATATTGGATGCTGATTCAGAACATACATGGCCTTCTGAAGAACTTTGCACCAGCCCTGCAAAGTATTGTCACCTAGTTGGTGTTGTAATTGTGACTTCAAAAGGCCATTCCACCGTTTTATCAATCCAGCTGCTTCAGGATGATGGATAACATAGTAAGACCAGTGAATTCCATGAGCATGAGCCCACTGCCACACTTTTTTTTAGCTGCAAAGTGAGTGCTTGGTCAGAGGCAAGGCTGTGTGGAATACCATGACGGTGGATAAGGCATTCCGTGAGTCCATGGATGGTTGTCTTGGCAGAAGCATTGCATACAGGATAGGCAAACCCATATCTGGAGTGAGTGTCTATTCCAGTGAGGACAAACCTCTGCCCTTTCCATGATGGAAGAGGTCCAATATAATCAACCTGCCACCAGGTAGCTGGTTGTTCACCCCAAGGAATCGTGCCATATCAAGGGCTCAATGTTGGTTTCTGCTGCTGGCAAATTGGGCACTCAGCAGTGGCCATAGCCAGGACAGCCTTGGTGAGTGGAAGTCCATGTTGCTGAGTCCATGTGTAACCCCCATCCCTGCCACCATGGCCACTTTTTTCATGGACCCATTGGGTGGCTGGGAAAAGAGGCTGAGTGGTGTCCACAGAATGGGTCATCCTATCCACTTGATTATTAAAATCCTTCTCTGCTGAGGTCACCCTTTGATGAGCACTCACATAGGATACAAATATCTTCATGGTTTTTGACCACTCACAGAGTTCCATCCACATACCTCTTCCCCAAATTTCTTTGTCACCAATTTTCCAGTCATACTTCTTCAAAGTCCCTGACCATCCAGCCAAACCATTGGCTACAGCCCATGAATCAGTATATAATCGCACATCTGGCCATTTCTCCTTCCATGCAAAGTGCACAGCCAGGTGCACTGCTTGAAGTTCTGCCCACTGGGAAGATTTCCCTTCACTGCTATTCTTCAGGGATGTCCTAGAAAGGGGCTGTAGTGCTGCAGCTGTCTACTTTCGGGTGGTGCCTGCATATCTTGCAGAACCATCTGTGAACCAGGCCTCAGTCTTCTCTTCCTCTGTCAACTGATCATAGGGAACTCCCCATGAGTCCATCAGTGCAGGGTAGGGGAGAGAAGGCATGGTGGCAGGAGTGGAGGCCATGGGCATTTGAGCCACTTCCTCATGTAACTTACTTGTGCCTTCAGGACCTGCTCGAGCCTGATCACATATATACCACTTCCATTTGATGATGGAATGCTGCTGTGCACCACCCACTTTATGGCTAGATGGGTCAGAAAGCACCCTGTTCATGATAGGCAGTTCAGGTCGCATGGTGACTTGGTGACCCATAGTCAAACGTTCAGTTTCCACCAAAGCCCAGTAACAGACCAACAGGTGTCTCTCAAAAGGAGAGTAGTTAGCTGCAGAAGATGGCAGGGCCTTGCTCCAAAATCCTAGGGGCTTCTGCTGTGATTCACCTATGGGGGCCTGCCAAAGGCTCCAAACAGCATCCCGATCTGTCACTGACACCTCAAGCACCATTGGATCCGCTGGGTCATATGGCCCAGTTGGCACAGCAGCTTGCACAGCAGCCTGGACCTGTTGCAGAGCCTTTTCCCATTCTGGACCCCACTCAAAATTGGCAGCCTTTCAGGTCACTTGATAAATGGGCCAGAGCAACACACCAAATGAGGAATATGTTGCTTCCAAATTCCAAATAGGCCTACTAGACTGTGCCTCTTTCTTGGTTGTAGGAGGGGCCAAATGCAGCAACATATCCTTCGCCTTAGAAGGAATATCTCAACAGGCCCCATACCACTGTACCCCTGGAAATTTTACTGAGGTAGAAGTTCCCTGAATTTTAGTCGGATTTATTTCCCATCCTCTGGCATGCAAATGTCTTGTCAATAAGTCCAGTGTGTTTGCTACTTTTTGCTCACTGGATCCAATCAGCATAAGGTCATCAATGTAATGAACCAGTGTGATATCTTGCGGAAGCAAAAAGTGATCAAGGTCTTTCTGAATAAGATTATCACACAAAGCTGGAGAGTTGATACACCCCTGAGGTAGGACAGTAAAGGTATATTGTTGGCCTTGCCAGCTGAAGGCAAATTGCTTCTGGTGGGCCTTATGGACAGGAATGGAAAAAAGAGCATTTGCCTTGTCAATGGCTGCATACCAGGTACCAGGAGATGTGTTAATTTGCTTAAGCAGTGAAACCACATCTGGTACAGGCAGCTGCAATTGGAGTCACCACTTGGTTAAGCTCACAATAATCCATTGTCATTCTCCAAGATCCATGAGTCTTCTGCACAGGCCAAATGGGAGAGTTGAATGGGGATGTGGTGGGAATCATCACCCCTGCATCTTTCAAGTCCTTGATTGTGGCACTAATCTCCGCAATCCCTCCAGGGATGTGATATTGTTTTTGATTTACTATTTTTCTAGATAGAGTCAGCTCTAATGGCTTCTATTTGGCCTTTCCCACCATCATAGCCCTCACCCTACCAGTCAGGGAGCCAATGTGGGGGTTCTTCCAGCTGCTAAGTATATCTATGCCAATTATGCATTCTGGCACTGGGGAAATGACCATAGGATGAGTCTGGGAACCCACTGGACCCACTGTAAGTTGTACCTGAGCTAAAACTCCATTAATTACCTGACCTCCATAAGCTCCTACTTTAACTGGAGGACCACAATAACGTTTTGGGTCCCCTGGAATCAACATCAGCTCAGAGCCAGTGTCCAGTAGTCCTTGAAATGTCTAATCACTTCCCTTTCCCCAATGCACAGTCACCCTGGTAAAAGGCCAGAGGTCTCCTTGGAGAAGGATAGAAGAAAGATTCACTGCATAAATTGTTGGTAATATAGTGGGGTCCTTCCTCAAGAGGACCCTGCCTCCCCTTCATTCAAGGGGTTATGCATCTGTAAACTGGCTCAAGAATGGAAATTGACTGAGAGGCTGTGATTCTCTGTTTTTATAATTCAAATTAGTCTTTTGCCCATTTGACTTGGAAGCTTTCTGCTTGTATAAATTAAGTAGGAATGCAGTAGGCTTCCTACCAATTTCACTTCTAGGAATACCAGGATTAATTAGCCAATGACAGAGCTCTACATAAGTCAGACTATTCTGATTGCCATTTTGCCTCTGCTGTACATTACAGTAGCTACACCCACCTTGCCTTTGATGGTTGAGTGCCACCACTTGGACCCTGCCACCTCGGGATCCAATTATTCCCATTGTATTTAAATTTTTTAGTTGAGTGACTGCAGTTCCCACCGTTAGATCTGACATGCAGAGAAGAGCAATTACAGGGCTCTTCAAAGATGCAAGTGCTGCCCTCACAAATCTGTTTCACAATGCCTTGGTCAAGGGTATATCTTCTGGACCCTCCCAGCTGGAATGAGTAGGTCTAAAGTGACTAATCCACTCCACCATCCCAGTCTCCCTGAGCCTTTGGATCTCTTCCTCTACATTAAACCAAGGGAGATCAGGCATTTCCATCTCGCTCACAGTGGGCCATCTTTTATCCATATTTCAGCTAACCAAGCAAATAAACTATTAGAACCTTTTTTAACTCCCTGAGCTGCAACATTAAATGCAGAGTCCCTACTTAGTGGGTCCAAATCAATAAATTCAGCCTGATCCAACACTATGTTCCTTCCACCATTATCCCACACTCTTAATATCCATTCCCATGCCTGTTCTCCAGATTTCTGTTTATATAAATCAGAGAACTCAAACAGTTCGAGTGTAGCATACCTCCTCATGGGTCACACTCTCAACCTCACCTCTAGGGGCCTGCTGGGACTTTAGTCCAGTTATAGGTCTAGAAGCAAACAGAGGTGTTGGGGGTGCCTCTCAAAGAGAATCAACATTATCTTGCCTGGCAACTGCTTCAGGGGAGGCCTTGACTGTTGCCTCTGGCAGCACAGGGTTTACCTTCTCAGACAAAGGTGGAAAGGCTGATGGCAGCATGGGTCGGGGAGGGGATGTTGCCACTATTGGGAATGGAGAAGCTGTTCCTTCTGGCAAAAAAAGGTTCATAAGAGTTTACAAACTCAATGTCCCCAGCTTCATCAGGGTCCTCCTACATGTCCCCAGCTTCATCAGGGTCCTCCTACATGTCCCCATTCTAAGTTTCAGAGTCCCATTCTTTTCCAATCAATGCCCTCACTTTAACAATAGACGCCTGGCAAGGCTGTGCATGCATTTTTCATTGCAGGTCAGCCACTCACATGATAAGAGCTTGTGTCTGTTTTTACACAATTTCAGCTCTTTCTCTACAGGAGATAAGACTCTAACTCAGGACAGTCTTAGCATACTTGAGGCTCAGTATCTGCTTCTGAAGCTGGGAGATAGAATCCCTGAGTTCATCATTTTCTTTCATCACTGTCTACTGAACTTAGGAGCAACCAACCAGCTTCATTATGTTCCTTGGTTCTCCACATATGGTCAAAGGTATTATGTAGTCACTAAACTCCTTGCCTCTCAATGAACCGTGAATCAAGAGTGTCAAATGCATTTATTTTGCATAACTCTCTAAACAGTTCATGCCAAGGACTATCAGTGTTCTCCATACTATTAGAAGTAGAGTCCTTAGCATTTTTGGGTCTAATCATATTAAGCAGCCAACTCCAGAAACCCCAAAACCAATGAAAGAACTCCATCCTTAATACCAAAATCTGTATTAATTAGGGTTCATCCTTAATACCAAAATCTGTATTAGTTAGGATTCTCTAGAGGGACAGAACTAATAGCAGATATATATATATATCTGCTATTAGATATATATATATATATATATATATATATATATATATATATATATATATATATATATATAAAGGGCAGTTTATTAAGTATTAACTTACATGATCCCAAGGTCCCACAATAGGCTGCCTGCAAGCTGAGGAGCAAGGAGAGCCAGTCCAAGTCCCAAAACTGAAGAACTTCAGTTTGATGTTCGAGGGCAGGAAGCATCCAGCACAGGAGAAAGATGTAGGCTGGGTGGCTAGGTCAGTCTCTCCTTTTCACATTTTTCTGCCTGCTTTATATTCACTGGCAGCTGATTAGATTGTGCCCACCAGATTAAGGATGGATCTGCCTTCCCCATTCCACTGACTGAAATGCTAATCTGTTTTGGCAACACCTTCACAGACACACCCAGGATCAATACTTTGTATCCTTCAATCCAGTCAAGTTGATGCTCAGTATTAACCATCACATATGCATAAAAAATATAAAAGAATATTTTACAAAATTATCATAATGTGCGTTGATGAAATACAAAGCAGGGAAAGCAGCAAAAGTCAGTGTTCAGAGTCAAATGTGCTGATCCAAGGTAGTGTGAATTTCCTAGGGCTGCCAGGAGTTAACAAATTACCACAAACCAGGAGGCTTAAAACAATAGAAACTTATTCTGTCACAGTTGTGGAGGCTAGAAGTCCAAAATCAAGGTGCCAGCAGGGTTGGTTCCTTTGGAGACACTGAGACACAATCTGTTTCCTGCCTTTCTCCTGGCTTATGGTGGTTCCTGGTAACTCTTGGCATTCCTTGGGTTGTAGATGCATCAACCAAATCTCTGCCTCCATCTTCACATCACCTCATTTTCTGTGTGTCTTCTTTCCTGCCCCATGTAAGGATACCCATCATTTAATTTAGGGCCCATCCTCATCCAGGATTATCTCATCTTGAGATTCTTAATTACATCTGCAGAGACCTATTTCCAGATAAGTTTACAGTCACAGGTATTGGGGGCTAGGACTTGGACATCTCTTTTTGGGGGTACTATTCAACAACTTCAGTCCACCCTGTGATACCCAAATTTCATGCCCATTTCACTTGCAAAATACATTCACCTAACACCAACATTCCCAAAAGTCTCAGCCCATGACTGTATCCTAAGTCTAAAATGTCATTGAAATATCATCAGCTCAAAAGTCCCAAATCTCATCATCTAAATCATCTCCATCTGGTATGCATGAAACTCTAGGTATGATCCATTTTGGGGCAAAATCTCTCCATTTTTAAACTAGAAAACAAATTAATTGGCCAGGTGCAGTGGTTCACGCCTGTAGTCCCAGCACTTTGGGAGGTCAAAGCAGGAGGATCACTTGAGCCCAGGAATTTGAGACCAGTCTGGACAACATAGTGAGACCCTGCCTCTACAAAAAAATTAAAAATTAGCCAGATGGGCTGGGTGCGGTGGCTCATGCCTGTAATCCCAACACTTTGGGAGGCCGAGGCTGGTGGATCATGGTGAAACCATGTCTCTACAAAAAGCACAAAAGTTAGCTGGGCATGGTGGCACATCCCTGTAATCTTAGCTACTCAGGAGACTGAGGCAGGAGAATCGCTTGAACCTGGGAGGCAGAGGTGGCAGTCAGCTGAGATCACACCCCTGCATTCCAGCCTGGGTGACAGAGTGAGACTCCATCTCAAAAAAAAAAAAAAAATTAGCCAGGTGTGGTGGTGCATACCTATATCCTAGCCTCCTCCAGGAGGCTTAGGCTGGAAGATTGTCTGAGCCCTGGAGGTGGAGGCTGCAGTGAACTGTGGTCATGCCACTGCACTTTAGCCTGGACAACAGAGCTAGACAAAAAAAAAAAAAGAAAAAGAAAAAAAAAGAAAGAAAGAATAAATTAATCTGCTTTCAAAATACAATGGTGGAGGACAAGCATAAGTAAGTCATTCCTGGCCAGGGGTGGTGGCTTACACCTATAATCCCAGCACTTTGGGAGGCTGAGGCAGGAGGACCATTTGAGCCCAGAAGTTTGAGACCAGTGTGGGCAACATAGTGAGACCCTATCTCTATTTAAAAAATAAATTTTAAAAAATAAAAATTTTAAAAAGTAAGTCATTCCTGTCCCAACAAGGAGAAATTGGAAGGAACAAAGGGGTCACCATTCCAAGCAAGCTTGAAATCCAGCAGGGGAAATTCCATTAGGTTTCAAGGCCTGAGAATAATCCTCTGTGGCTCACTCCCCTGCCCTCTGGGACCACAGAGACTCCATCAGCCCCTGCCTCTAGGCCTGCCTCTTTGGACCCTGCCTCTGCATCCACAGCTTTGCTCTGAGTCATTCTTGCTTTTCCTTGAAGGTTAGCATGTGTTTGTAGTTAAGTAGCTCTATTAGCCTATTTCCTGCCTGTAGAATCCCAGAGGTCCCATAGTTATTTTCATTTTCCATTTCATCTTATCTCTGTCCTTTCTGTACAAGCTAGCAGTGTTTCTGTATGTATAACAGTCTCAAAAACTTTGTAGACCCCCTTTGTATTTCAAGGGTATCCATTCTAGATAACTCTATCTCTATTTCTGGCTTCTTCTGGGATGGTCGATTGGGTTCATGAGACATACCTAATCTCTTTAGCAAAATGTTGTCCAGCTACATCCTTGACCCTCTCTCTAGGGCACACTTTTCCTACAATGAGTTTCTTAACTTAAGCATCCTTTGTGAACTAGGTAGGCTGAGAACCTCCCAAATAAAAAAGCCCTGGTTTCTCTTGGCTTAACGGTTCTTTTCTCAATTTATCTTCTGTATCATTTTCCTGTAAGTACAAAGAGAAACCAGGCCACACCTTCAACACTTTGCTTGGAAATCTCCTCAGCTAAATATCTAAGTTCATCACAGCCTTCAAGTTCTGTTTCCACTCGACAGTAGAAAACAATATATCCACACTTCTGCCACTTTATAATAAAGATGGCCTTTCTTCCCTTTCTAATAACACGTTTCTCATTTCCTTCTGAGACCTTACCAGAAGCATCTTTAACATTCATATTTCTACCAGCATTCCATTCATGATATATATACAATGGGCCCTCCATATCTCCGGGTTCCGCATCCATGGATTCAGCCACCACAGATCACAAATATTCAGGGGAAAAATACTAAAAAACAAAACAACAGTAAAAATAAAATAATAACAAGCAATACAGACCAGGCATGGTGGCTCACACCTATAATCCCAGCACTTTGGGACAAGAGGATTACTGGAAGCTAAGGGTTCAAAAACAGCTTGAGCAAGAAAGCAAGACCTCATCTCTACAAATAATAATAATTAAAAAATTTGCCAGGTGCAGTGGCATGTGTCTGTAGTCCCAGCTACTTGGAAGGCTGATGCAGGAAGATTGCTTGAACCTAGGAGTTCAAGGCTGTGGTGAGCTATGATTGCACCACTGCACTCCAGCTGGAGTGACAGAGCAAGACCCCATCTCAGAAAAAAAAAAAAAAGAAAGAAAAAAAACCCAACAATACAGGATAACAACTGTGTTTACATAGCATTTACATTGTATTAGGTATTATAAGTAATCTAAAGGTGATTTAAAGTATACTGGAGGATATGTGTAGGTAATATGCACATCTTTGCCATTTTATAGCAGGGATTTGAGCATTCATGAATTTTGGTATCCATCAGGATCCTAGCACCAGTCCCCTGGGATACTGAGGCATAACTCTATTCTCTAGGGCAATAGAAGCTTTCTTTTCTATGCTGTTCACTTCCTCTGAGCCCTCATCAGATCATCTTTAAAGCTCATATTTCTGCCAGTCATCTCTTCAAGGAAATCTACTAGGCTTTCTTTATTATACACCTTGAAATTTTCCCAACCTCTACCCGTTAGCCAATTACAAAGTCTCTACCACATTTTTAGGTATGTGTTATAGCAGCAACCCCTTCCCAGTATCAAAATCTGTGTTAGTTTCCTAGGACTGCTGTGACAAATCACCACACACAGGGTGGCTTAAAACAGTAGAAGTGTATGCTCTTATGGATGTGGAGGCCACAAGTCTAAAATCCAGGTGGTGGCAGGGTTGGCTCCTTCTGGAAGCCCTGAGGGAGAATCTCTTGTAGGTTTCTCTCCAAACTTCTGGTTATTGCTGGCAATCCTTGGCATTCCTTTCTGAGTAAATGAACCACTCCGATCTCTGCCTCCCTCTTCATGTCACCTCTACTCTGTATGTCATCTTCTTTTCTGTCTCTTATGAGGACACACCATTGGATTTAGGGCCCACTCTAATTCAGGGTGATCTCATATTTCTAAATAAGGTTACACTCTCAGATACCTGGGGTTGGGACTTGGACATATCTTTTGGGGACCACTCTTCAGTCCACTACAGGCAGACTTCCCGTAGAAGGTAAATGTTAAGGGTTCAGGATGGAAAAGCTGGGTGGGGGATAAGGCACTTGTCAGAGCCCTGTTTTCCCATGGCAGCAGGAACGCCCCAAGAGTGCTGTGTTTCCTGGCGAGGGGAAGGTCAAGATGAGCGTGGAGGAGCAGATTGACCGAATGCGGCGGCACCAGAGTGGCTCCATGAGGGAGAAGCGGAGGAGCCTGCAGCTCCCGGCCAGCCCGGCCCCCGACCCCAGTCCCCGGCCAGCCTACAAAGTGGTAATGCCTTCCCAGCTACCCACAGGCGTGAGCCTGGCATCTGCCAACACTGCCCACTCCCAGGGCATGGCCAGCTTGGGCCTGGGGGGTTTGAGAGGAAGGAGAGGGGAAAGAACCCAAGCTGGGCACCTGGGAGAGCCGGAGAGTCCTCTCCCCCATCGGCAGAAGAGTCCTTCAAGTGTTGACTTTTTCTTGTTTAAAGAAAATAACTCACAAAAAGGAATGCCTTAATTATGTTTGTTGAAATGAATTATACAAAATTCACTTAATAGAGAATAGTACAGAATTCACCACACAGAAATAGCTGTCACTTACACCCATTTCTGGAGCATCTCCTCTGTGCCTAGCACTGGGCTGGCTGCGATGAAGATAATCATAATAGCTCACCATTGCATGGCACAGTATAATCCACAAATCCCTTTCATGTTATTTCATTTAATCCTTTTAACAACATTGGGTTAGGAATTATTATCCCTATTTTGCAGATGGGGAAACAAAGTCAAGAGAAATTAAAGGATTCCTGGGCTACACAGCTATTAAGTACAGAGCTGGATGTAGCCCAAGACATCACTTAAATTTTCTTTCCATTAAATTTTAGAAATATGGAAAAATTATGACTCATAAGTCCTGTCCTCAACAGCTTACATTCTAGTTGATGGATTAGAACTTCTATAATATGAAATCACTGGAAGTTAGCCGGGTGTGGTTGGCTCCTCATGCATGTAATCCTAGCACTTTGGGAGGCCAAGGTGGGAAGATTGTTTGAGACCAGGAGTCTGAGACCAGCCTGACAACAAAGCAAGACCCTATCTCTATAAAAACATGTTTAACAAGTAGCTGGGCATGGTGGATTCACCTATAGTCCCAGCTACTTGGGAGGAGGCTGGGATGGGAGGACTCGAGGCCAGGAGTTGGAGACTGCAGTGAGCTATGATTCTGTGACTG
This sequence comes from Homo sapiens, assembly GCF_000001405.40. Lineage (NCBI taxonomy): Eukaryota > Metazoa > Chordata > Mammalia > Primates > Hominidae > Homo > Homo sapiens. The sequence continues at coordinate 204,229,467 of NC_000001.11, read as the reverse complement.
TACTCCAGCTAGAGTGACAGCAAGACACTGTTTCTTAAAAAATAAAAAGAAGAAATCAATACAAGTCACACTAATTCAGCTGCCCAAAATATGTAGCACAGAATGAGAATACAGGGTAGAGCAGGATGGGGAACAGCAAGAACTGACAAGAGATGATGAGATGTTGCCCCTGGGGCCTAGCAGGTGGGCAGGCTTTGGGCCAGCAGAAAGGAAGGAAGATAGTTCTGCAGTGGGGTATGGTGGGAGCAGTGGGGTGGCAGCTAGATCAGGCGAGCTGGGAAGGGAAAGCGAGGACAGGGCATAGCTAGAGCTGCCTGGAGGCATGGGTAGCCATGGTGCAATCACGATGCTGCTGTCCCCTAGGTGCGCCGCCACCGCAGCATCCATGAGGTAGACATCTCCAACCTGGAGGCAGCCCTGCGGGCAGAGGAGCCTGGCGGGCATGCCTACGAGACACCCCGGGAGGAAATTGCCCGGCTTCGCAAAATGGAGCTAGAGCCCCAGCATTATGACGTGGACATCAATAAGGAGGTGAGTGGAGCCAGGAAGGGCTGTAGTGGGAGACTCTGGGAAGGGACAGAGGTGGTGACCCCAGCCCCTCCATAGCTCTCCACTCCAGACAAAGTCCTCATCCCTGAACGGTACATTGACCTGGAGCCTGACACTCCCCTGAGCCCTGAGGAGTTGAAGGAGAAGCAGAAGAAGGTGGAGAGGATCAAGACACTCATTGCCAAATCCAGGTAACCAGCCTGGGTGAGCCTCTACTTCCTCTGCTCACCCTGGCACCTAGGACACCTGGGCCACTAGAAGTCGTTGGGGGCACAGAGCCTCCCCAGGGGAGAGCACATCGAGGTGGTGACTCCAGGCAGCAGACAGGGCCCAGCTACCGGCAGAGGCAAGGATGCTGCTGTCAGGTGCTACTAAGACCTGCCAGGCTCGTGCACACCACACCATCGAGACAAAACTGAAGGCTCGCCCTCTGGTGACTTCTTTTCCCCTTCAAGGCTGCCCTAAATGCTCACTTGAACCTTTTAATTCATTTGAGAACATTGAAGGTAGGGGTCCCAACCTGTGTTTTGCCAGGGTCCCACTCACTCCTAGGGACAGCCTTGCTGGGAACCAGAGACTGCACATTCACGGGGCCCTGGCCCTCCCTGCCAACCTCAGTCCGCAGGCCCCCTCAAGCCACTTGGACCATCCTGTCCCTCCCTCCATTTCTGTGTGTCTGTGCCTCTTCAGTATGCAGAACGTGGTGCCCATCGGCGAGGGGGACTCTGTGGACGTGCCCCAGGACTCAGAGAGCCAGCTGCAGGAGCAGGAGAAGCGGATTGAAATCTCCTGCGCCCTGGCGACCGAGGCCTCCCGCAGGGGCCGCATGCTGTCTGGTGAGAGGGGCTGGGCCTCGCTCCACCCTGCCAGGGAAACCAGCTGACCAGGTTTAAGGGAGGAAGCGTGGCACTGCTACAAGGGGGGCAGTAGCAAAGAGATACAAGGCTGAGGAGATGCTCCTCGAGGTTGAGACGAGCATCTGTTGAGCACCAGGTACTGTGCTAGGCTCAGGGAGGTGCAAAGGGGCCAGAGTTGCTGCATCCAGGAGCTCAGAGCCGGGATGATCCTTACAGCCACCTTAGGGAGTAATGGCCAGAGGCCATGCAGAGCATGGGGAGCCATTCTGCTTGGGCAGGTCAGGGAAAGGCACAGAGAAAAGATGACAGCTGAGTTTGACTGAGAAAGATAAAAATATTTCTCAGTTGCAGGGAGAGGGCCAGGTATTCCAGAGTATCCTTTCATTTCCTGCTTTTGCTGCATGCAAATAGGAAGAAGCCAAGAAAAGATAGTGAGGGCAACCAAAGAGTTGAGAGCGATGCAATTACCACCTTGGCTACTGATCCAACTCACTTTTCTGCTAAGAAAAGATAACTATGAGGAACTGACTTCACGCTGATACAAAGGCTACCAGGTCCTGACTAGATGCTGATAGGGCTGAGATCAACAGGGTCAGCTTCTACTCAGCCTGAGATATCATCCCAGAATAGATGAAAATGTAGTTGAGCTTTTAAGAATGAAAGAGATTCTGTATGAATGGGAGGGTTAAAGGGAGAGGAGAGACAGTGGGTAAATCAAGGAGCCTGGGAGACTGTTCCCTTCATCAAGATAAAGGTGCTTAGGATAGAGAGGTAGAGTGAGAGTGAGAGCTTTGAAGGCCACAGTTAAGAGGAATGACTCAGAAGGGGGAGCCATGGTTGGAGATGACACTGGCAGAGAAGCTAGAGCAGGTGTGCAGGCCACCATTCCAGTAGCCCAGGCAAGAACCAGGCCATGAGCAGGTTAGAACCGTGGCTCAGAACATAGTGGAAGGGATGGCGTTTCATGTTGGTGATTGAGGAGGTTCAAATTCTGGTGCTCTGAGGCTCCATTTCCTCATCTGTGAAATTCAAATCAAAATTCCTGCCTCCAGTGCTGGTGGTATGAGGATTGGAAACAATGTGTGCCAAACACCTAGCACAGTGCCTGGCATTCAGTAAGTGCTCAATACATGCTCGCGTGCCGTAGTAGTGGTGACAGTAGCAGTAGCGCTGTGTTGCTGGTAGTAGTAGTTGAAATAGCAATAGATGAAGTAGAAATAGAAACCATTTGTCATTTTGCTAATTATTTTAAATATGGATATTTTCAGAAACCAGATTTTAGCTACAGAAAAGAGGATTTAAGTAAGCCTTAATGAAGAACCTTCTGCCAGTTAGGGTGTAATGGACTTTAGAATGGGTGTCCAGGGAGAGCCTTGGAGGTATTTCAGGGAGAGGCTGTCTTTAGGCTGGAGTTGAGGGTAAGAGAAGGGATAGCTTCAGAGAGCCCCATCCTGCAGCCAAAAGGCAGCAAAACCAGTCTGGCCACAAGGAAGCAGGCCTCTGTTGAACCTCCCTGTAGTTTAGCTGCAAAATGAACTTGAACCTTCCAAAGATCAGATTCCACATGCTCTGGGCAAAAGGCAACTTCCTGTTTCAAGGGGTTAGAGAGACAAGGCTGGTTTAAAAACCTTGCTCAGCCCCAGCCCCAGCCCCTGGCGCTCTCTACTATAGTTCCTCAGCCAAAGGTCCCATGAAAACAAAACCCACCCGGCCTATCCGATTTCCGTCTTGATACACATGGGCTTACATGTCAGGGTCTGTGTGCTGAAACCAAACGGTCACCTTGCTTTTGCCAAAACCCCAACTATTTAAAAAAGGGCTGTGGCAGGGCCAGACCTCAGACTCAGCCCACTGTTCCCACCGCCCCTGGCCTGTGGCCCAGCTCCCCAGAGCTACAGCTCTGCCAGGCACAGCAAGACTGGTCCTGGGCATGCACTGTGTGGGCACAGGTTCACACCCAGGACACTGTGTGTGTGGCAGTGCTGGGCACAGGTCATGAGCACAGCGTGCAGCGGGTGCAGCGAGTAGAGTTCAGTGCCCGCGTGTGGTGTGTGGCATGGACAGAGTAATCAGTGAGGAATGCTGTTATGCTTACAAATCCACCCGGTGCGTGCAGACTCAGGTATGTAATATGTGGAAGTCATGGCATTTTTTGAGTTTGTACGTGTGGCGCGAATGTCTTGTGCAGTGTCTGGATCTGGTCATGTTTGTAGATTCATGCATTTATTTGTGTGTATTCAAGTATGCAGTGTGAGAGTGGAGGAAAGGTTTGAGTACAAATGTAGGAATGTGTATTATGTCTGTGTAAAATGTCTAAGGATGTTGTGTGGAGACCTGTTATTTATGAATCCAGGTGGTATATGGTAAGGTGTTGGAGCATAAATGTACATGTATGTGAGTGTACAATACATTGGTGGAGGTGGTGTTTATGAATGCATGTATTTATGTGTGATTGGCTTTTCCGCAGTATGGGAAATGATAAAGCATATTTGTGTATATGTTGTGTACAGTGTATATATTGCAATACTGTGAACTTCTGTCTGTGTGCACAGGCTGGGAGAAAGTACAGTGTCATGAATGTGAGTATGTGTGACTGATCATTTCTGCATGCATGTGGTACTTGTGATTGCACACATTATAATATCACATCTGTATGATTCACATCTGCAGCATATGCAAATCTTAACTATTTTGATGGATATATTTCTAATATATATTTAGTATTTTTCTGCCTTCTTAACAAAGTTCTGTTTACATATGACCTCTTCTTGCTCATGTATTATCATTATAAATATCTTTATTTTGCCGATCTCTGTTAAAGGAATGCCCTTAGGGCCACAATGGACATAGATCTGTTTGTAGCTATGCTAAATGTTCCCAAACTGTCACTCTTTTAAAGCTGTTATGTCTGCTTTTTACAAAATATTTTTTCTCCTCAGTCGTGCTTTCTTACAGATGTCAGTGGGCCTCCCAATTCCTCTGTCTCTTTGAATTTTCCTGTTTCTAATCTCCCCTGGGCTAGAAACCCAGCGAGTCAACACCTTTTAGAATTGCGTATAAATAAGAGTAACTGGACTCCAGGGGGTCCATATGAGTAAATTCTGAGAGCCTCGCTGCATGTCCTGTGGGCTATAACCTCTATGTTGGCTTCCTGGAGATATCTTTTGCTTCGTTTTTGGTTTCTTGGCTGTTTTAGAAGTTGAGACTGCTAGATGACTAAGCGTTGGGTCAGTGATGTGGCTATGCACACGAATGTGTGTTTGAAAGTGTTTGTGAGTGTATTTGCACATGAAGTTACAAGTGTTGGGTCATGTGGAAGGGCACAGGCTTGGAAGTACACAAATACGCTTATGTGAGCTGTGTGCGATGAGTGTAATGATATGGACTTGCCAGATCCCATGCACAAACTTTGTATCGTGTATAGGCAGAAAACTTCACATCCATGCGAGAACTACATGTGTTCTATGCACATGTAGGTGTATTAGATATGTAATGACAGTAGCCACCTTGGCTCTTTCTCTTGCACAGACGGCAGGGAAGGTGATGAAGTCCAGGGTAGGGTGGGGGACGAGGGACTGGGAAGTTCAATTTTGGGTCCCCTCTCTCGGTGGAAATGCAGTGTGACACTGGCTGAGGTCTGGTTCCTTTCTGAGCCTGAGTGAGGATGTTGTCTCTGCCATCCTCCTGCCTCGCGGCTACAGTGAGGATGCATAAGGGTCTGGAGACTGCATAGAGCTTGTCCCCAGTAATAAGTCTCCCCTTCTCATTGTCCTTCCACTTTGCTATTCTTAACATGGAATAATAATGATAATAGAGTAAAATCTCATTAATTCAAACATCATTTCAGGCTTGTCTCGATTTGCTCAGGGGTGGACCGAAGTTTGCCTTTACTGGACTGATGAAAAGGGGGTCTCAAGTGTTAGCAGGGAACATGTTTCCGAGCCCTTGACTGTGCCAAGTTGACAGAACTCGCTTTAAGTTTATTAGAAATCTCTGTTTTTATGGCATTGATTAACATGGTGGTCACTTCACTTCTGTTCATTAAATGGGGCCAGATGGTTTGGATTAGTGTGATTTTACTGCACTATTAATCATTATCATTAGTGACACTGCCGTATATAAAGTACCACTCCCTGGTTCTGTCTGCACAGTAGTGGAGAGGTGTGTGAATCTCCCCATTGTGTGGATGGGAGGGGAGCCCTTTGCCCAGAGATGGCCTGGCCTTACCCACAGTCACACTGGTTCTCAGCAGAGCCTAGATTCGGCCAGGTCTCCTCTGGGGCCTCACACTCTCCTCCACGACGCCCTGGGAATGAGGACAGCTTGGCCTAGCTTGAGCAAGCTCCAAGCTCAGTGCTCTCTCTTCGCTTGCCTCCCTGCCTCACTCCCTGCCTGGGGAGGGCCTCGCTTGCTCTGGGTGCCCACCCTCCTCCCCCACCCACCCCCATTCACCTCCCTGTTCATTTCTGTTTCCAGTGCAATGTGCCACCCCAAGCCCTCCCACCTCCCCTGCTTCCCCGGCTCCTCCAGCAAACCCCCTGTCGTCTGAATCCCCACGGGGCGCCGACAGCAGCTATACCATGCGGGTCTGAGCTCTGACGTAAGCACTTTTCTACTGTATTTCATCCACCTCGGGAGTGGGGCCCCTTCCTTCACCCCCATTGAGCCATCTATGCCCTCTCATTTTGGTATTGCTTCTCCCCTACCCCAGTGCCCTGTGCTGCTCCTCCCCACTATCCATCCATTCATCCATCCATCCGTCCATCCAGCTTCCCCACGCAGTGCTGGGCTGGAGCCAGCTGGCAGGGCCGCTTCTTGGATGTTGTGATGCCAATGGCCTTTGCTTCTCCAGAAGCAGGCAGGGAATGGAGCCGAGACCTCACCTGTCTGCTCTCAGGGAAGGCTCTTCCCTGACACCCCACCCCTGTGCCTCCTGTCTGCTGACAAGCTTTCCATCTGTTGAGATACACAGATGCAGAACCTTCAGAAGCCCTCAGAAGCTGTTTCTCCACTCCCAGATCTTACTGTAAATTAAAATAACATTGACAACTACGGCCAAAGGCTGTGAACCCTTCCCTTGCCCCTAGCCCACAGCCGCTCACTCTCAGTCAAGTAGAAAAGAACACTGACTTCCTTTCCTTTGTTCCCCTCTCAGGACTGAGGGACCGGAGTGGGTTTCTGCCAGGTTTTTGCAGGATGAGGCTTCTTTTTCCTGGGAAGGTTGGCTGGAGTCCTTGCTCCTCTGTGCAGCACTCTTCTCACTCCATTTCTTTTTTCTCCAGTGCAAGCCCTGGCTGAGGCCAATGCTGTGAAGCTCCACAGAGCCACATTCTGAAGCCGTCCTCTGCCCACCTGAGGTCCTGGCTCCCCACCCTGGCCCCCTGCCCCTGCACTCCCATGGGAATGCCGCAGGGAGCCAGGCTGGGGCCATGGGCTGCTGCCAGAGGACCGTGGATACCTCAGTGTCCACACACCCACCATGCCCAGCCCTGGAGCCATCACTACTCACACCGTGGTCCTGGGCCAGGGCCTGAGATGACAGTGGGGAGCACCATCCTCATTAATGTCCAAGTCACAGGGAGCCTCAGCCTTGCCCTGGCTGGGGTTGTGGTGACTCCAGTGGAACATTCCCTGATGGGGGACATGCCGTGGTGGAGAACACACCTGTGGCTATCTTATGTGAGGACTAGAGGTGAAGAGGAGATGGACACTGCCTCTGGAGCCAGCCTGACACCAAGGACAGCACTTGTCATCATCCCTATCCTCGTCAGCCCCACCCTACTGCCTCAGCTGGACCCAGGGCTTTGACACAAACCCAGTGCTTTGCTTATGGGTGCTCGCTGGGGTCCGGTGGAGACTGACCACCCTGCTTGAGCCAAAGACAAGGTGATGAGAGATGGGGAGAGGCCATTGGCTCCCAGAGGGAACAGTGCTGGCTGTGGCTAGAGAACAGCAGGTCTGTGCAGTGTCTGAGGGCAGGTTGGGAAGGGTAGCAGAGAGAGAGAGACAGAAAGAGAGAGAGAGAGAGAGAGAGAGAGAGATCCTCAGAGTGGAAGGAGGGGGAAGCAGCAGGACACATTGGCAAGTCAAGCAGGAAGGAGGGAGATGGAAAGGGGATATCAGATTGGTTTCCCCCGGTGGAGCCTTAGGTTAGTGCCCAGTGCAGTGCCAGACTGTCTCCTCTGCTCCTCCCACCTCATCCCTAGGAGGACCCACCAGTGGAGCACATGCAGCCTCAGTGGAGATGCTTGGTGTGGGGATCTGGGTGAAGGGGGTTGAGTAGCGACTGCCTGGGAGATGGCTGTTAGTAGGTCTGTGCCTGGTGTCTGCCTCGCCATCCTGGGGTAAGGGGCAGAGAGAAGGACTTGTCTTATGTAGGGTGTGGTCAGCCTTGGGGCCTTACCTACCCAGTTCCATGATATTTCTTGCCCTGTTCCCCCTGGAATGTGCAGTGGGCCAGCTGAGAGTACGCCTTGAGGAGGGGGGATGAGGCCTTAATCTGGGAGGCCTATCCCCCTATCCCAGGCATCCCAGACGAGGACTGGCTGAGGCTAGGCGCTCTCATGATCCACCTGCCCCGGGAGGGCAGCGGGGAAGACAGAGAAAAGCAAACGCATTCCTCCTCAGCTCCACCCACCTGGAGACGAATGTAGCCAGAGAGGAGGAAGGAGGGAAACTGAAGACACCGTGGCCCCTCGGCCTTCTCTCTGCTAGAGTTGCCGCTCAGAGGCTTCAGCCTGACTTCCAGCGGTCCCAAGAACACCTACTAATTCCTCTGCACTCCTTCATGGCTGGGACAGTTACTGGTTCATATGCAAGTAAAGATGACAATTTACTCAACAAATATTTATCGAGCACCTTTTATGTACCAGGCACTGTTGTAGGTGCTTAGGATATTCTCATGTTTCTGAGGGATTACAGCCTGGGAGGATTCCACCGATCTTCACTTCTAGCAGGTTTTTTAAACGTGACCCTTGGCTGTATTTCCCATCTTCACAGTTCAAGCACCCCAAACCTGCCCTTTCTCCCCTGCAGACTGGCAGGTGGGATTGGCTCCCAGGTCATTTCCTCTCTCTCTCTTTCTCCCAAGCCTTTCTCCCTCCACAGGAAACAGATTTTTCAGGGCCTTCCATGCCTGCCACTTTGTCCGTCTCTTTTTTTTTTTTTAAAGTAATATTTTTTAGAAATACATGTAAAATACCAAGAAATAATGTCTGCGCCTCTGCCACCTCTCTCTCATCTCTTATTTCATAAAGCTGGCTCTTTATGTTGCTTTACATGCCTTAATATATGTTTTATGGAGATTATACATATTATAGATCTATATATGTAATATATTTGTTTGGATGTCTGATCTTTTCCTACAGTTCCTGCCCAGGCCTGTTTTTCTCTCCCTTATTTTCCACATCATTCCTAGCATATCAAGACCATACCCCTTGCCTTTTTGATCCAAAGAAGGGGAGAGGAAAGACTTATTTTAAGACATCTATTTTATGCTTTTGTTTAAAAAAAGCAAATCTATTTTCAAATTGTGCAATGTCTGAATGGAATTGGCAAATGAGGTGAGGAGATGGGGTAACTGCCTTTAGGTCCCAACCCTGTGCCTGTCCCTCTGCCACAGTGGCTTCCTTCCATCCTATTCCCCAGTCACGAAAGGGCTGGTCCCCAGAGCTCACCCAGAAAGCATCTTGCCGGGGGCAGGGCATTCCCTCGGAAGTCCTGGCCTAAGGATTTTATTACACTGTCTGCTCCTGATGACCCTCTGCGGTTGTCAGGCGTGAATCCTCTGGAAGGAACTGTTTGCAGTTGTATGCACAAAGGAGACCCATGCAGGCATGCACCCCAGATGGGCTGCTAGACTACCCCTCTTCATCAGCCTGCTGGAAAGAGCAGACAGCGTAACAGCAGCCTATGCCAAACAGCACTAAGGATGTCAGTGTACGAGACGGTGCGAAGCCCAGAGGAGGCGGCTTGGGATCCTCTGGGCCATCCCTGGCCCTGTAGCACAGACACATACAAGTTCCTTGGACTTGTCACACTCCTTTTCACTTGATCCCTCTCTGGCCTGGGTCACATTTATGACATCCCCCCTCTGCAACCTTTCTCTCTGGGGGCTGTACCAAAGGCATGGTACCTCAGTCTGGTATCCAGACTGTGAAATCAGCCTCTGGGCCAAGGAGGGTCCTACAGACAAGGTGGCATCTCAACCTCACCCAAGAAACCCCCGGGACTTTACCCCAGCAGGCTGCCACTGGGGCACCGAACTAAGCCAGCTCAGCCTTCCAAGCTGCTTAGCCTTTGTCAACCATCAAAGTGGGGAAAGGGTCTCTGGCCTTGCAAGGATTTGGGCAGGATGGAAGTCTTTGTCTAGGTCTGAAATCAAGGGCTTGGGAATCTAGAGCAGAGCTCCTGGCCAGCGTTTGAAGCCTGGCCTCCCACCTGGGGCATTTACTGACACCCTGTCGCCAGCCTAGAACATCCTGCTCTGAATGAACAGAGCCCAGATGGGGGTCCAGAGCTAAGTGACCCACCTGGGGAAGCTCTGATTATTCATCCAGGGCCTTCTCAATGAGCACATTACCTCCATGATCAATAACCAAGAGGCTGCAGTCAAATACTGCTACTGTCACTTTGAAGATTTTCTAAGGGCACAAGTGGCACACTTGCTCTCCGGCCTTTGGGAGAGGCATGTTCTTGGGCAGGGCTGGCTACGGCAAGAGGGAACCAATTCCTTTCCCCTTTAGGCACCCTCTACCTGGCAGCTCTTAAAACTAAGAAAAAATATGATATACACACACATTATATATATATATATATATACACACACACACACACACACACGTATATCTATTTATGCACATATTGGGGCCAATTTGATTTGCTAGTATTAGACAATAAACTGTACAAGGAAATTTATTATCTCAGTGTCTTTATTTAGCATAAAAGTGGCCTTAGAAGAAGGGTGAAGGTTAGATAGATGGAATCTCTGTCAGGGGACAAACAGCTGTAGCATCCCCTTAGCATCTTTCTAGCCAATGAGCCCCCTCCCCAGGAGGAGGGATGGCCTGACTGAAACAGGTGAGAGTTTGCTTCCCCCTTTCAGCAGCATTCTTTTTAGATTTAGGTACTGAAGAATCCCAGTGAGTTCTGCATTTGTATCTTGCAAGTTTGTATAAACCCAATACAGGAAATAAAATGAATGGTTTGTATATGTGGTGTGTGTCTCCTACTCGGTGTCTGCCCTTGTGGTGCTTGTGGGGTTGTGGGGTTGGCAGCTTGTGGGGTTGGCAGGAAAGGGGAATGGGGGCTGGGAGGTAGGCTGGGTGTAAAACATGTGCTCCTTCCTCCCCTGTGCCTCAGCCTGCACTTTTTGGCCTCCATCCCCAGGAGCTGGGGAAGCGAGGGTATGCTACCAACACCAGCATCATCATTTCAGTTCAGGTGACCCCAGATCAGGGTTTGCCCCAAGGTTCTGTATAATGGCAGTATCAGATGCTTCAGGCCCTGGCACCTTCCCTTGGTTTGACTCATACAAAGGACAGGACAGCAGGAGAAGAGAATGAATTCCCAGCCTTTCTTGATTACTACACAATGCGCTATATTGCTGCTTTACAAGAAGTTGTATAATTTGGTGGGAGGTATGAGACCACCCCAGTTCTCATTCTGCCTCCATCCCTTTGGTTTATTTCTCTTGGCAGGTGTTTTGTGGTTATCAGGTATTGACACTCTGTGTGAAGGGCTTTACCAGTGCTTCTCAATTTGGAATCTTACTGTGGGGACCAAGAGTCAAGAAGCCTGGTAAATTTTGTGGGGTGGGTAGTGGAAGAGAAGAGGTGCGCCCGGGAGACTGGCAGGCTCAGCGGGGCTTCTGCATGTTGTCCGAGGGAGGGATGGCTCAAGAAAAAGCGAGAAGGAGAGATGAGAAAGCAAGCTTCCTCTAATTCCTGATCTTGCATCGGCTTGGCTTTCATGGCTGAAGCTGAATTCTGGACACCTGTTCCCATTTCTAAGGGCTAGTACGGGGGAGGTCATTTTTAAGATTCGACTCTATTTTGGATTTTGTCACATCCCCAGGATGATGTCCTTTGTGAACCCGGGAGAGTTGTGACCAGATGTAGGCTCTGGGGGAGGGCCTGCATCAGAGGCTGGGGTAGGGGGATGCATATTGGAGAACTCGTCACTTTCTGGGGGGCTGAGCCTTTATCTTCAGGCTCCATCTGAGCCAGAGCCAGTGGCAAGGGCTTGGGGAGGAGGTGGAATGTGAGACCACAGAGTACCACCGGGCATCACTGCATCCACCGACAAGGGCTGCCTCCTCCTCTCAAGAGATGATGCCAGCTGGTGCCTGCTCCATCCCCTACCAGATCAAGCCAGGTTGGGATTTGTAAAAAGGGGGTAGTAGCTGAGAAATGTAAATGAAAATGCAATAGCAGAATGTCCTTTAAGGAGCAGAGCTGTGTAACTGCATGATCACTTATTTATTCTTGAAGACAGGCACGACAGGGTCAGGCAGGCAGCCAAGCCTCAGACCCTGCTGCTGCCAGGGAACTGGGGCCACGCCACGTCCCCCTCCTCATCCCGAGCCTCACCTCGTTACTGAGACCAATGAGAGAAGGTGGCATGTCATCCTCAACTCCTGCCCCTAGCAACATGCTCCTTGCTAGCTGCATGAAGATTTGGACAAGTCATTAAATTCTTGAGTCTCAGTTCCCTCATCTGGAAAATGGGTATATTAACCACCATCTTATGGAACTTTCAAGAAAGACAAATGAGAAAATGGATGAAAATCACTTTGAAAACTCAAATTCACTTCCAAATGTGAGGAAGTGGAAGTGGTGATGTTGCAAAGGCTCCCTGGCCACCTGCAGGGGCCTGATGTGGGAAGAGGGAGAAGGTTTTCCAGGACCCCTCCTTTACTAGCTCTACAGCCTTTGCTGGAAGACATCACCAGGGCCCGTGCCATCCCTGAGGTGTCCCTCCCCTGCCACTTCTATGCCTCCAGCCCAGGGAGTAACTGCACTACCCCACACTTTTCTCATCATGGCAGGGTCATGAGACTGCCATGGGTCGAGGACTAGCACCAGCCTTCCCGGCGTTGTCCCTATGAAGGTCCCTCTCCAGAAGGATGAGTTGTGGACAGCGCCTCTGGGCTTAGCTCCAGTACCCAGAGAATCAGGCCCGGAGGGCCCAGTATCATGAGCGTTTAATTCTCCTGAGCTCACAGGTGGGTTCCATGGCTGGGGGTGGGGGCAGGAAGGGGCATCCCCAGTTGCTATTTTATACACCTGCGGGAGTGGTTTAGCACCACAATTTGAGATGACAGTAGAAGTCTTTCATATAAAGCATATTAACAGTATACTAATAATAACATTAATAACAATAGTAATTATTATAACTATACAGTAACAGGAATAACAGTGGTTCATTAAGTGCTTACTATGTGCCAGGTACCTGGTTCTATGCACTTCACATGCATTTACTCATGAATCCTCATCCTCTATGTCAGTCATAGGTACTATAATTATCCAAGAAGCTGAGGCACAGAAAGGATAAATAAAATGCCCAAGGCTTCACGAAGCCAGGATGAAGCTCTTAACCTACGAGTGATTTCAACAGGGATGATTCTGGCCCCTAGGGGCATTTGGTTGTCTCAATCATAAGGGTGCAAAACTCTTGCTGGCATTTCGAGACTGCAATGCACAGGACAGATTTCCAAAACAAAGAATTGTCCCATATCCTGTACTACTTTCGAATGTACAACTGAACTAAACCCACTACCAGTAAAAGTTGGTCATACTTCAATTGACAGTAATACCAAAAGGTTTTGTAAGCTTTTAAAAATAAATTTCATGAACACTCAGAAAGTTAGGAGATGGTTATTATGGAGCAGAAGCTTAAAAGGAATAAAGACATTGTCTTAAAATTATTGAATAATCTACTCCATGCATTGTCTACACAAAGGATTATAAGATTTCAGCTACTATGTATTTGATTGAAAACAGTTCTGATCAGTAGGTGATACTGAATAAACGAAGAAATTGACTGAAAATATTTAACAGAGGATATGTGAGAGAAGCAAACATGGAATCAGAGACACTTGAGATGCAGAAGATCTCACTGAGTTTCCTTAATAAAAGTTTTTAGGGTTTATTTCATATTATTGCCATCCTTTATATGTTTAGTTTTTTTGGAGCCCAAGGATGCTATGTTGTCATAATTATGTGTGGAAATGTTGTGTCCTGTCTTTACAACACTGTCCCGGGTGTCCACATGCAATTGCTCTAAACCACTTTTATCTTCTTTTCTTTTCCCAATCCATCCTCTATCCCCCATTGCCCATTGGAAATATGTGATCTCTAAGGCCTTTTAAGATCCCAGAGACTGAATTTTACCTCAACGCTGATATGTTTCAAGACAGAGGTTGATGTGTCTGTGGTACTCTATGGCGACCCCATTCCATGGGAGCTATTTTGACAATACACACATACCTAAGACTGAGTTCCTTTGCATGCACATCATACTTCTATATTATCTCCACCTTGTGCTCTCTAATTTGCCTTGCTATGTTATCCCTATTTCAATTAAGATGCTTTCCCTCTCATCATATGCAAGTACGTCTGGTCTGTTATTCCTTATCTAACAGTTTTTATTCTATGTTCACTTCCTGCTACTCTTTCATTTTCTTGCATGTGTGTGATTTTTGTTTTTGCATAGAATGGCTCATCTTCTATTTCTCTTAAATTCAAACATATATTATGTGTGGGTGCAAGCAATCTGCCTATTTCATTTATGTCTTCTGGTAAGTCTTGCCTGAACATTTATATATTGAAAGACATCATGTTTTATTATAATTTATCTTTTTGTTTCTTTTTAAAAAATTATGTTAGCTTTCCTTGGTTTTGTTGTTGTTGTTTGGTTTGTTTTTTTTTGAGACAGGATCTCGCTCTGCTACCCAGGCTGGAGTGCATGGCTTGATCACAGCTCATCGCAGCCTCGACCTTCTGGGCTCAAGCAATCCTCCTACCTTAGCCTCCCCAGTAGCTGGGACTACAGGCAGGTACCACCACATCCGGCTAATTTTTTATTTTTATTATTGTAGAGACAAGGTCTCACTATGTTGCTCAGGCTGGTCTCAAACTCCTGGGCTCAAGCAATCCTCCTGCCTTGGCCTCCCAAAATGCTGGGATTACAGACATAATGCATTTTGTATGCCAGGCCTATTTGCATTTTTAAATGATGTATATAGGTAGTCTTTGAAATTCATTTCTTCATTTCTGGACACAGAAGACATTGCAAAGTGGATGTTGGCTCTCCTGGCATCAATGCCACGTCAGAACCACTGCTCTGCGATGGGAAAAAAGGATGTTAGGAACTAACTGCCTCTCTTTTTGCAGGCCCAAAGGACGAATCCATGTCTACACAGCTGGTGGGTAGACTAGAACCAGGCCTCCTAAATTGTGCAGTCCTGCCCCAACCCCAAATTCAGGGCTTTGTCTTCCATAGCTCAACATCACAGTCAGTCCAAAGCTTGGACGCCGCTTGGGGAAAGGAGGTCGAAGACCTTCACGTCTAACTTCCCCCATGGCGCTTTTGCCATTGATTTAACCCGATCTGGCTCTGCCATTAGGTCAACAACAGGCTTTGTGCTCAGTCGCTCATCGCCTCCCAGCGCCTAGCATGTGCAATAGCAGAGAGCAAAAAGCTTGACTTTCAAGATGAATTTAGTACATTCCCAAAGGGATGCGCAGATGCCAACTCTTCCCACACTATCAAACCAAGCAAGAAACTTGAGCACCCCCTAGATTCCAATGCTTCCACATACAATCTAAGTTTCGCGGAGCAGACGAGAGCCGCAGAACACCGCGAGGTGCGAGGAAAGGGTCAGGTGGGCGGTGCCTTCCCCGGGCAGGCGCGGCAGGTGGAGGGGCGGGGCATTGCCCTACCGGAAAACGGGAGGAGGGAGCTGGCGAGTAGAAGCACCTGCGTGGTGTGCGGGGGTGGAGCGGGGGCTGGAGGGAGAGTTAATGATTTGCCACAGGCTCATTTCGCAACTTAACCAAGGGTCAGCTTCCCGTGACCATGTACCAGCTGCGTCCTCTGGGCCACGCTCCACTTGCCCGCTTCCACCCGGAAAGCCCCCCAGGCTGAGTGCGGCATGATCTCCATCACCGAATGGCAGAGTAAGTGGGATGAGCGGGGCTGCAATGGGCTATCCAGGCCAGGCTCCCTGCCGGCTGGCTCTCTCTCCCAGCTGGGCTCTCTGTCACTACAAGCGTGACCTCTGGAGCCAGGGGCTGGGAGATGCTGTGCTGGCACCCTGGGGCAGCAGGCAGGGTGGGGTGTGGCTCCCTACCCTCCAGCGGGTGGGAGTTGCTCAGGGCCCACAGGTAGCTAGAGGCTGGTGCCCAGGGGGCCTGGCAGGTTCCCCATTCACACTGACCCCTTTCCCATCCCGGGTTCTTAGAACTGGGTTGCCACAAAGGTGGACTCAGGAGGCCTCTGCCCATTCAGACATCTTTCCCCACACCATCAAGGTCTCCTGTGGCCCTGGGGGCTTCTTATAAAAAACTAAACTCCACTCCCCTGACCAAACCACCATACCCTCACTCCTAAACATCCTTCCCCTTCTTTTGGGGGAAGAGGTAGGGAGGAGGTCTTGGAACAAGTCTGGGGCCATGGGAAGAACCGTGGCTCTGTGGGCTTCATTTGGGTGAGTTACTTAAAGCCTCTGAGCCTTGGTTTTTCATCTGAGAATTGGTGACAACATTCTTTTGTTCACTCAACAGATTTGTCTCTGCTGTGTGCCAAGCACTGTGTTGGATATAGAGTGTCCAACATTAAATGAAACTGACTCCCTGCTTACATTCTAGAGAGGGGAGACAGGTAATTAACAGAAAGAAGTATATAGTATATCAGAAGATGATAAGTCCTCCAGATGAAAATAAAACAAGAGGAGGCTATGGAGTTCGAGGTAGGAGGGGTCGCTATTTTATATAGAGTGGTCAGGGAAGCCTCACTGAGAAGGTGAGCCTTTATTCAGATCTTTTTTCAGAGATCTATAGGAAGTGAGGAAGCAAAGCCACGCAGCTCTCTGGAGGGGAAATGTTCAGGAAGCAGGGACAGGCAGTGCAAAGGCCCTGAGGCATTAGCATACTTGGTGTGTTTGAAGAACAACAAGGAGGTGGGTATACCTGGAGCAAAGTGAGGTGAGGGGAGAATCATAGGAGTTTAGGTCAGGGATGTCACTGAGGGGTCAGGACACTGGAGACTTATAGACCATGGTAATGACCTTGGTTTTGTGCTATGGTGTGATATGTTCTATTTCTATGTTTAAAAGATCATTCTGGGTGCTGGGTTGAGAATAGACTGTGGAGGTATGAAGGCAGCAGCAGGGAAGCCAGTTCTTTTTTTTTTTTTTTTTTTTTGAGACAGAGTCTCACTCTGTCGCTCAGGTTGGAGTACAGTGGCATGATCTCTGCTCACTGCAACCTCCACCTCCTGGGTTCAAGCGATTCTCCTGCCTCAGCCTCCTAAGTAGCTGGGGTTACGGGCACCCACCACCACACCTGGCTAATTTTTGTATTTTTAGTAGAGATGGGGTTTCTCCACGTTTACCAGGTTGGTCTCGAACTCCTGACTTCTCAAGTGATCCACCTGCCTGAGCCTCCCAAAGTGCTGGGATTACAGGCGTGAGCCACCGCGCCCAGCCAGGGAAGCCAGTCCTGAGTGTGTGAAGGTGGAGACCAAGGTGTTAGCAGGAGATTAGCGGGGCGTGGTCCATGCTGGATCTGCCTTGAGGAAAGCGTTGAGGATTTGCTGACGGTTTGGACATAGGGTGTGAGAGAAAGAGGAGTCAAGAATGCCTTGTATATTTTTTAGCCTGTGCAATGGGAAGGGTTGAGTGGGGGGAAGCAGGAATTGGGCTTTAGATGTGTTGAGTCTGTTTGTGCTGTTAGACATCCGGGTGAGATGTCAGGTAGGTGGTTGGGTATGTGAGTCTGGAGTTCCAGGTAGAGGCCTGGGCTGGAGACAGAAATGTGGGAATAATCTGCATATACATGGTTTTTAGGACTATGAGCATCCATGAGATCACCGAGGGCAGGCACAGTTTCTCACCTCCCCACTATTGACATTTTGGGGCAGGATAATTCTTTGTTGTGGGGGCCTGTCCTGTACATTATAGGATATCAGCAGCATCCCTGGCCTCTATCCACTACATGCCAGTAGCACCCCCACTCCAAGTTGTGACAATAAAAAATGTCTTCAAACATTGCCAGATGTCCCCTGGGAAACAAATTTCCATCCCGCACCCCGCTTCCCCACCCACAATCCCCTCAGCCCAGTTGAGAATCATGGACCTGGCGAATAAAAATATAGAGAGAGGTGGGTTGGGTCCTCAACCCAGTGGCACGCTGACACTTTGTTAAACCAATTAGCCTGCAAGTAATATACTCTTACCAAATATGATAAGCAAGTCCTGTGAGAGAGAGAAATGAGGGATTTAGGTCAGGGAAGAGAGTGGACCAGCTTTCCCTGAGCAACTGACATTTCAGCTGAGACCTGAATGATGAGGATGCATTGTCAAGTAACAAGTGAGAGGCAGGGTGTTGCAGACCAGGAAACTGCATGTACGAAGGCCCTGAGTCAAGAGGGCTCACATGGAAGCCATGGAGAACAGTGTGGTTGGAGCATGGCAGGCAATAGGGACAGTGGCAGGAGATGAGGTGGGCAGGCAGGCCTGGGCCCCACCAGGCAGGGCCTGTGAGCTGTGGTGTGGATGAGAAGGCTCTGCTGCAGTCTAATCTCAGTGGGCAGCCGTGAAGGAGTCTAGGCAGTATGCTAACATGATCAGGTTGTATGTTTTGCAAGACCTTTGAGCGCCGTGTGGAGAAGGACTGGGAGGGTGCAGGAATAAAGCAGGAGGCCAAATGGGGGCTGCTGCATACGTCCAGGAAAGAGATGATCGTGGCCGGGAATTAGGTGTTAAGAATGGAGAGAAATGGACAGCTTTCAACATGTATCTTGGAAGAAGAAAAGAAAACTTAGCTGTGGATTTCATGGGGGAGGGGTGGGCTTCTGCGTTAAGTGGTGGGGTGGGCGGTGGTGACATGTTTACTCATTTGAGGACAACCAAGGGAGGCACAAGTTGAAGGAGGGAAGATAAATAGACCAGTTTGGGATTGAAGATTAGCCCAGTTCAAGATGGCTGAGAGAAAACCAGGCAGATATGCCAAGTAAGCAGCTAGATATGAGTTTCAAAGCCCAAAGAGAGGCATGGACTAGAAAGAGAGACATCAGTGTCATCAGCATACAAGGGAGGTTTGAAGACGTGAGAGGCTGGGTGTGGTGGCTCATGCCTGTAATCTCAGCACTTTGGGAGGATCGCTTGAGGCCAGGAGTTCAAGACCAGCCTGAGCACATTGCAAAACCCCTGTCTCAACAACAAAAAAATTTAAACCAATTTTAAAAAATTAGCTGGGCATGGTGGCCAAGTGCCTGTAGTCCCAGCTACTCAGGAGACTGAGGTAGAAGGATCCCTTGAGCCCAGGAGTTCAAGGCTGCAGTGAGCTATGATTGTGCCATTGCACTCCAGCCTAGGCAACAGAGCGAGATCCCAGCTTTAAGACAAAATTAAAAACAAAAATAAACACATGGGAATACATGTGGAAATAGAATGAGAAGAGAAGTGAGCTTGGGCACAAGCCCTGTGCAATTCAAATCCCAAGAAGAAGAGAGAGAAGTAGGAGCTGGCAGAGGAGACAGAGAAAGGGCAGTTAGAGCAGTAGGAAGAAAATCAAGAACGTGTTGTGCACAAACCAAGAGAAAGGCTGTTTCAACACGGCAGTGGTCAGTTCTAACAGATGATGGTTCACACCTGCCCATTGGATCTGGTAACATGAAGGTCATTAATGGCCAAGGCAAGAGCATTGCCTGCAGAAGTGGACTGGACTGGGTTGGTTAAAGGCACTTTTTATTTTTTGTTTTGTTTTGTTTTTGGTTTTTGAGATGGAGTTTCACTCTTGTTGCCCAGGCTAGAGTGCAATGGCATGATCTTGGCTCACTGCAACCTCTGCCTCCCGGGTTCAAGCGATTCTCCTGCCTCAGCCTCCCAAGTAGCTGGGATTACAAGTGCCCGCCACCTCACCGGCTAATTTTTTGTATTTTTAGTAGAGACGGGGTTTCATCATGTTGGCCAGGCTGGTCTCGAACTCCTGACCTCAGGTGATGATCCACCCACCTCGGCGTCCCAAAGTGTTGGGATTATAGGTGTAAACCACCGTGCCTGCCCAAAAGGCACTGTTTGGAGCTCAAGACTAAGTTCAAATCCTGCTTCTGCCAGCTGCTGTGTATCCCCAGGCAAGTGACTTAACCTCTGTGTTTCAGTTTTGTTTGTGAAATGGTGCTAATAGTAGTACCTATGTCACAGGTAGTTATGAAAATTAAATGTGTTAATATACTTAAAGCATATATGTGCTTAGACTGTGCCTGGCCCAGTATGTTCATTACACTATCAATCACTATTGCTAATTTTAAAAAGTGAATGAGGCTCTTTCTCTCCTTATTTCCCTCCTTCCTCTTCCTGAACAATTCAGTCTTAAAGCCATTAGGTTTAACACAGAGAAGGCGGTGCCCAGAGTGGGGTGTTAGAACCCCAGCAGGGTGAGAAGGGTGTTCACACTAGGGGTGGCCTGGTACAAAGTATCATAGGCAAAGCATCCCCTGCAGGGTCAGGGATGGGGTGGTGAGGGGCCTGGCAGATACTGCCTTAAGAATAAAGAAACATTATCAGCTATGGGGCAAATTGACATCTTGCACCACCTACCAGGATGCAGTGAGAAAAATACAGCATCACATCTTGTGCTATTTCTGCCTAAGATGCATAACCTGAAGCTAGTCGTGAGGAAACATCCGACAAACCCAAATGGAGGGATGGCTACAGAATAAGTGGCCTGAATCTTCAAAAGTGTCAAGGTCATGCCAAGGAAAGACCAAGGAGCTGTTCCAGACAGAAGAGTTTAAAGAGACATGATCATTAAATACCACACAGAATGATGAACTGGATTATTTTGCTATAAATGATGCTACTGGAGTAACTGATGAAACTTAAATGGAGTCTGAGGGTTGGAGGATAGTCACATATCAATGTTAGTGTCCCAATTTTGATGGCTGTATGTTGGCTGTTTAGGAGAATTTTTTGTTTGCTTGTTTATTTCAATAGGTTTTTGGGGAACAGGTGGTTGGTTACATGAATAAGTTCTTTAGTGTGATTTCTGAGATTTTGGTGCACCCATCACCCGAGCAGTGTACATTGTACCCAATGTGTAGTCTTGTATCCTTCAGCCCCTCCTACCCTTTCCCATGAGTCCCCAAAGTCTATTGTATCATTCTTATGCCTTTGCATCCTCATTGCTTAGCTCCCACTTGTGAGTGAAAACATATGATGTTTGCTTTTCCATTCCGGAGTCACTTCACTTAGAATAATGATCTCCAATTCCATCCAGGTTGCTGCGAATGCCATTATTTCATTCCTTTTTGTGACTGAGTAGTAGTTCATTTTTTATATATATATATATATATATATATACACACACACACACACAAGTATACATATATACACACATATGTATACATATACACATATGTATACATATATACATATATGTATACATATGTGTGTATATGTGTATAGATACACACATATATACATACATGTGTGTATATATGTATACATATATATGTATATGTGTGTGTATATATATACACATCACAATTTATTTATACACTCATTGACTAATGGGCATTTGGGCTGGTTTCATATTTTTGCAATTCCAAACTGTGCTGCTAGAAACAGGCATGTGCAAGTATCTTTTCCGTATAATGATTTATTTTCCTCCGGGGAGATACCCAGTAGTGGGATTGCTGGATGAAATGGTAGTTCTACTTTTAGTTCTTTAAGGAATCTCCACACTGTTTTCCATAGTGGCTATTCTAGTTTACATTCCCACCAGCAGTGTAGAAGTGTTCCCTGTTCACCACATCCACGCCAACATTTATTTTTGTTTGTTTGTTTTTTGATTATGGCCATTCTTGCAGGAGTAAGGTGGTATCACATTGTGGTTTTGATTTGCACTTCCCTGATCATTAGTGATGTTGGGCATTTTTTCATGTTTGTTGGCTGTTTGTATATCTTCTTTTGAGAATTGTCTATTCATGTCCTTAGTGTCCAGGAGTTTTAAAAACCACACCAGAGCATTCAGGGGTGATGAGGTATGAGGTGGCAACTACTTTCAAATGGTTCAAGAAAAATATTCTTTGTACTGTACTTGCAAGTTTCCTGTACATGTGTGATTGCTTTAAGAAAAGGAAAAGGGGGAAAAAAGACGATGATGTTCTGAGACTCACTGCGTGCCTGAGGCCAGAAGGACTCATCTGCCTGCTCCATGAGATATTGTTTTCTTGGAGCTGTAGCTGATTTCTGGAGCAAGAAAGACAT
This sequence comes from Homo sapiens, assembly GCF_000001405.40. Classification (NCBI taxonomy): domain Eukaryota; kingdom Metazoa; phylum Chordata; class Mammalia; order Primates; family Hominidae; genus Homo; species Homo sapiens. The sequence goes on along the minus strand of NC_000001.11, from coordinate 204,207,567 downwards.
TGAACCTGGCTTTTCTTAAAGTGAGCCACAAAATGGGGAGTCAGGGAAGCCTGGCTTGTCCGTATCGGGTGGCCATGGGCTCTTCTTGGCAGCAACTCGGGAGTTGCAGAGCAAGGAGCTAAACAAGGGCACCAGTGCAGCCATCAGTGTACCTTGCCAGGGAGATCTAAAGCTGGTCTCTGAGGTCTGGGGAGGTCTCCACTTCTAGGTGGCGCCTGGAGAGCCGGGCCTCCCTGAAGTTACCTTGGCCTCCCAGCTTTTTTCGGCTGGGTGTAGGCGTGACAGCCCTGGCCGCCTCCAGCAGAGGGCGCGCTGCCCAATCTGTCTGGATCACGGGGACCGTGCCGGGCAGGCACACCTGTCACTCCTGGGGGCATCTGTATGACATCCCCACCCCTCCACTCTTTCTGCCATGGTTGCTGCCTGAAAAGAACTTTAGGAGTAACCTCTGGCTGGATAACTTGACTAAAATAGCTAAGCTACTCCAGAAGCAAGAGGCAAAGGCGGGTCTGAAGCTTGTGTGTGAGAAACAGAGTTTCTGACCCTTTTCTGTGGGGTTTCGTGTCCCACTGAGCACTGAGAGCACTAAGTGTGGCCCATAAAGAAGGCTGCCCCCATCACAGGAGAGTCCTGGAATTGCATCTGCCCTTAAAGAAGAGTGTAGAACAGGTGGAGGAGGGATAACTATGGCAGCCAGCAAATCACTGCTGCAGAAGAAGAAGGAATAAACAGGAGAATGGACATCATGTGTGAATGTGAGAAACTTACGCTGTTTCCACAAAATGAGTATGAGGCTGTTCTTAAGTGTGTGCAGGATGAACATATAGAAAGTTCAACAAAACGAAATGAAAACCCCGTAAAATGTGCACATCGTGTTTCCACACAAATACACCTACTGAGGGGGAGGAAAGGGTGTATAGTCAGAGCTGAAATCAATGACAGATGTTTTTATGGCAGGCATAAGCCAACAACAGATATTTTATAACAAGCATAAAAACCTAAAACACTTTTATCATTTGGGTTAAAGAAAGATGACTGTGGTCTTCCTCCACAATATTCTGACCTACACGAAATTATCTTGGTAATTCAGGTAGATGTAACTCTAGATTCTCAATGTGTTGTCTCTGAGGATGGAAATGTTGACAAAACACAACCTTCATCATGACCCATGGGGGTGATATTCTGCTGAGCTGTCCCAGCTTCTAAGAGATTTAATTCAGGCCAGCAGGAGGAGGTAGAAGTAGGAAACAAGCCCAAATAGATCACGAGGCTTGTCAGGAACACAAGGAATCAGCTTTTAGTAGAAAATGGATTCTGGGCAGCTGGGTGATATGTTGAGAGAAATTATGTTACACTGGGTCCCAACAAAATCCAGCTTCTGCCAAAAGTGAGATCCAGTAAGACTGGCATGATACCAGACTATGAGTTGAGCAAGGTTTCAGTCTATAATTTGAATGCTAGATCTTATCACTGTATTTTTCTGTTTTCTTTTTTTTTGAGATGGAGTTTTGCTCTTGTTACCCAGGCTGGAGTGCAGTGGCATAATCTCGGCTCACTGCAACCTCCACCTCCCGGGTTCAAGCAATTCTCCTGCCTCAGCCTCCCACGTAGCTGGGACTAGAGACGCATGCCACCATGTCCAGCTAATTTTTGTATTTTTAGTAGAGACGGGGTTTCACCATGTTGGCCAGGCTGGCCTTGAACTCCTGACTTCAAGTGATCCACCCACATCAGCCTCCCAAAGTGCTGGGATTACAGGTGTGAGCCATTGAGCACCTGGCTTCATTGCTGTATTTTTGATGATTCTTTTAAAGAAGCTCTTTGACCTTTTTTCTGTATTGGAATTGATCCTAATCCTCTTAAAATCTGCATAGCAACAGATGATGGATTAACTACCCAGAAGATGATTATGTTGTTTCATTTTCTTTCAGTTGTAAATAAAACTCAGCCAGTAAATCTAGTCTTGATAATTTTGTTTTTGTTTTTACAATTCTGCCTCTAAACACCAGAATAATTTTTCCCCTCACTTTTAACAACTATCTGCAAAAGCATAATAATAATACCAATTTCATAGAGGTTATGAGAACTGATTCTAACAAGTCCAGTAAAATTTTTGACGAGGGCATCAAGACCATGAAATGGGGAAAGAACAGTCTTTCCAACAGATAGTGCTGGGAAAACTGGATATCCACATGCAAAAGATGCAGGTGGATCCTTACCTTATACTATCTGCAAAAAGTAACTCAAAGCAGATCAAAGCCCTAAAAATAAGAGCTAAAACTATAAAACTCTTAGAATAAAAAATAGGGGAAAGCATTACAGCACTGGATTTGATAATGATTTCTAGGTTATGACATGAAAAGCACAGACAACAAAAGAAAAAAAAGACATCAATCAGACTACATCAAAATTTAAAACTTCACCGCATCAAAGGACACAGTCAACAGACTGAAAGGTAACCTACAGAGTGGGAGGAAATATTTGCAAATCATACGCTACATAGTTAATATCCAAAATATATAAAGAACTCCTACAACTCAACAACAAAAAGAACAACCTGTTTAAAAAATAGGCAAAGGACTTAACTAGACAATTCTCCAAAGAAGATATACACATAGCTAACAAGCACATGAAAAGATCATTAATCATTAATCATTAGGGAAATGTAAGTCAAAACCACAATGTATACTACCTTATACCCATTAGCATGGCTGCTATCAAAACAAAACAAAACAGATAAAGTATTGGCAAGATGTGGAGAAATTAGAACTCTTGTGTACTGTTGCTGGGAATGTTAAATGGTGCAGTCACAATGGAAAACAAAATGGCAATTCCTCAAAGAATTAAAAATAGAATTACCATGTGATCCAGTATAATTCCGTTAATTCCACTTTGTGGGGTATATACCTGAAAGGATCGGAAGCAGTGTCTTGAAGAGATATTTTCTTATGCTCATATTTATGGTAACACTATTTACAATAGGTAAGAGATGGATGGAAGCCACCCAGATGTCCATCAACAGATGAATGGATCAACAAAATGCAGGGTACAGATAGCAATGGACTATTATTCTGTTTTAAAAAGGAAGAAAATTCAGACACATGCTACAACATGAAGGAACCTTGAGAACGTTATGATAAGTGAAATAAGACAGTCACAAAAAGACAAATATTGTATGATTCCACTTATAGGAGGTTCCCAGAGTAGTCAAAAATTCATAGAGAAAGTAAAATGGTGGTTGTTGGAGGCTGGTGGGAGGGGAATGGGGAGCTACTGTTTAATGGGTGTAGAGTTTCAGCTTTGCAAGACGAAGAATTCAGGAGATGCGCTTAATACCACTGAACTGTACATTTTTAAATGGTTAGATGGTAAGTCTCATTTTATGTGCACGTTGCCACAATTTAAAACTTAAAAAGGTAACAATTTAAAAACAAAGCAACAGAATGAATTTTTATTTATTGACTATCATAGTGGCAAAGATAAGTAAAATGAACAATTCTGAGTGCTGGAGAGGGTTAAGGAAAAAAGGAACTATATATCCGGTTATTGTACAAATCGTCTTGAGGGGAGCGATCTGAAATATGTTTATCAAAATGTCAAAAATGTAGCCCTTGACCAAACGAGGGGGCCTTCATGTCCTGCACTTCTAGGCTACGCTTGCTGGCTCTGAGTGAACTCCTGCAGCTTCAAAGAATGCCCTGAGACACTTACAAACCTTGGGAATGGGGGCTTACTGTCAAACCTTGGGAATGGGGGCTCACTGTCAAACCTTGGGAATGGGGGCTCATTGTCAGTGTGGGTCCAACCTCGGCAGAACTGCCCAAAGCCACTGGGCTGAAATGAGAGTTGGCCGAAGAGTGTGTGGGGGGCCCGCAAGGTGCCTGCTGCAGGAGGGAGGGAGGACAATGGGAGCAGGTGCAGGCTTGGGTCTTGGATATAGGTCCCAGCTGAGAAGAGGAATGCATTCCTAACTGATGACTTCTGTTTTCCCAATCCAGTGGGAAATGTCACCACCTGAGAGTGGAGACAGGGCAATTCTGAGGAGGAAGGAGGCAGTGTGGAGAGTTGCTCAGGCGGGCCAGCCTCTTGAGTAAGGACCAGGAGAGCTGGGTGGTTCTGAGGCTCTTTGGAGCTGGTGGTCCTGAGTTTTCAGTGGCTCCCTTCTGCGCAGTGTGGGCTGGGCTCCAGTGGTTCTCAGTTGCACAAGGCAGGAGCAGAGGCAGCAGATGCTATGTTCAGCCTTGATACTGATGTGGATAATGTGGCTTTTGAGGACAAGAGGAGGCTGAGAGTATAAAGTGGTCAGGGCAGCACCAGCTTCCACACAGGGCTGCAGTGAGGACAGCATGCCACTGTGTACAGAAGTGACAGCACAGTTCCCAGGTGCCAGACAAAGCTTCATGCCATCCTACCTTCCCCTTCCCATCCCACCATCCCCTGAGAGCATGAAAGCTGAGATTCCTGGATGGAAGTGGAGTCACCCCCATAGAGGGCACCTGTCCTGTGGCAATGGGGGAAGTTTCAGGGTCCCCACCTGCTCCCCAAAGCCCTTTCCTCCACCACCTCCTTGCCCATTGCAGAGATTGGTGTGGGGATCACCGGTTTCGGCATCTTCTTCATCCTCTTTGGAACACTCCTGTACTTTGATTCCGTGCTCCTGGCCTTTGGAAACGTGAGTCTCCCAGCCCTGTGTCCCCACTCCCCTGCCCCAACCTTTCTGAAGTCTCTATTGCCAGGATAGTCCTGGCAATAAAGACTTACAGTTTATTTAAGTCTTTAAATAAATCCCTTAAGTAAATCCCAAGTTTATTCAGACCATGCCTATCCAGGGGTCAGACATCATCAAGCCTGGGCAGAGGAGGGCACAGGAAATGGACGCAGAGCCCGCTGGCACCAAGAATCTGAGGACCTGGATTCTCACACCGAGCTCTGGGCGAGACCCTGGGGGTTCTAAGAGGACTCAGACACTGTCCCTGCCATCTGAATCCCACTCTAGGGCTAGAGATATAACATGACATACATGGCTGGGAGGAAGGCAGGGGCCATGGTAAACACATTTAGTATGAAACAAGGGGCTTAGTGGAAAGAGGGCACACTGAATTGGAGAATGGTGGAGAGGAATTTGGAAAGGAAATGGGTGTGGAGGTGAATAAAGCACTTCCAGGGGGATTGGAACAGCAGGAGAAAAGGTGTGGGGAAGGAGCAGGGAAGCATGGGATATGCTGGAAGAAAACCAGAGAGTTCAATTTGATGAGAGCCTGGGCACTCTTAAGGGATTCATTAGGAGCCAAGCTGAAGACGGTGATAGGGCATCCAGGGGAGGGACTGGAGGGTTATTCTGTAGGCAGTGGAGCCTCTGAAGGTTCTGTGTGACTTTCAGTATGGCTGCCTAACCTACTTAGGCCTCAATCTTCACTTCTTTGGAATAAAAATCCCTCCCGATTCCATCTTCCCCAGATGGTATGGTGAGAAACCAAGTCCCATATGAAAAATGCTTGGGCTCCAGGGAATTGGGTAGGCAACTAGAAACCGTCAAAGGTTTCTCATCCATCCCCCTGCCTCTGCGCAGTCCTGTTCCCAGCCAGCAAGACTTATCAAGGCTCTGGGATTCTGCCACACTGCTGGATGGCCCTCGCTCAGATGGTCTTGAACAGTTAGCACATCCTGTCCCAGCCCACCGCCTGGCTCCAGGCCTAAGTCCCTCACTCCTCAGGGGGCTGGTGGGTTTGCTTCATGCTCCCCTCCCTCCCCTACAGCTGCTGTTCCTGACGGGCCTGTCCCTCATCATTGGCCTGAGGAAGACCTTTTGGTTCTTCTTCCAACGGCACAAACTCAAGGGAACCAGCTTCCTCCTGGGGGGTGTGGTTATCGTGCTCCTACGCTGGCCCCTCCTCGGCATGTTCCTGGAAACCTACGGATTCTTCAGCCTCTTTAAGTGAGTGCAAATCCCTATAACCCTGGACAGACCCACCAAAGTGTCTGAGTGGCTGAGATCACCCCAGCAGGGAGTGCAGAAGCTGGGACTTTATCCTGCAAGAGATGAGAACCATGGACACCTTGGAAAGGCCCCCTAAAGTAGGCTGAAGGGTACTTTGGAGGGATTAGCCCATCCATCAACAAATACTGATAGAGTGCCGACTGTGTTCCCAGCACTGTGCCCCCAGCACTGTGCCTGTGAGCAGGGAAGAGACACGAGGCCTGCCCTCAAATCTCAGTGATCCAGCCGGAGAGGAAGGGCAGTGAGCTAACATGTTCCAGGCACACTCATGATCATCATCTTATTTTATCACAACAACCCACTATAGGATTATCCTCTACTTCATAGATAAGGAAACCAACACTCAGAGAAGTTGCCCCCGGCCCAAAGTCTCAAACTAGTATGTGAAAAAGGTCGCCCTTAACCCAGGGAGCTCTGGCTCCTGACCCCTGTGTCATCCCCTGGCCAGGCCTGTGTCAGCCCTGGGCCTGGGAAAAGGCAGGGTGGAACTCAGCCATGATGTGTGGCCACTGTCAGGCCTGTAGGCACTTAGAGGGGAGCCCAGGGTAGTGTCATAGAGGAAGCAGGACTTGAGAGAAGCCTTGAGGGATGGGTAGGGTCTAAGAGAAGACTGGAGGGCACTGAAGGAAAAGGAAGGAAGGAGTCTCAGAGAAAGTGGGGGTGGGAAGGAAGACTTCATATGTCTACACGGTGGTGTGGAGAGAATAGGGGTGGGATTGGGACAATGGACCCTGGAAGAATGATGGCTTCTGCAATCATGGAAAGGTGTGGGGCTCAGGAATCCCCAGGTTCTCACAGGAGCCCCCGTTTGCTGAAGGCAGCCCTGAAACCCCCTGATTAGCCTGAATGGCCTAGGCCTCAGAGACTTTGGGAAGTGTGGCTTTAAAGTTTCTCATGCATACCTGCCATCTATTTATTCCATATTCAAATATGTCATTTTATGGCTGGGTGCAGTGGCTCACACCTATAATCCCAGCACTTTGGGAGGCCGAGGCAGGCGGATCACTTGAGGTCAGGAGTTCGAGAACAGACTAGCCAACATAGTGAAACCCTGTTTCTACTAAAAATACAAAAAAAAATTAGCCAGGCTTGGTGGCAAGTGCCTGTAATCCCAGCTACTCGGGAGGCTGAGACACAAGAATTGCTTAAACGCAGGGGGCGAAGGTTGCAGTGAGACAAGATCACACCACTGCCTCCAGCCTGGGTGACAGACCGAGACTCTCTCTCTCAAAAAAAAAAAAACAAAAACATATATATATATATATATATACACATATATGTCATTTTCAAACAGTCGCTTATTCAAATTGTCAAATATATAATAAGCACCTACTGCATGCCAAATACAGGGCCAGGTGTGAGGATGTGGCACTGAATGAGGAGAAAGTTCCTAAGGAATTTACAATTTAGTAGGGAAGACCCATAAATAAATTCTGACAACAGTTAGCATTTATGGAGGGCTTAGAAAGTGGAGTGGGACAGCAGCAAATTCAATAGTTCAAACTGAAAGTCAGCCTTGACAAAGACACTGTGCAGTAACACAGGAGGCAAACAAATTACAGCTATCAGGGACCTCAGAGTGCAGTGAAACCTTGGAAAATTGAGGCCCACGGTAAGGAAGTGGCTCAGCCAGAATCCATATTTCAAATCTCCCTTCCCATCCGCCACACACCGGGATCCCTTCCCATGCCAGCCTTGGCACCTCCAAGCCCTGTGAGGGGTCACGCATGTGTCTGCAGTCAGGCCTTGGCAGGGTATCTTTGATGAGAGCAGGGTTGCCAAAGGCAGGGGTGGCTGTGTGCCTGGGGGAGCCAGGGCACCAGGGAGTGTAACGGTGAGCATGGCTTCCAACAGCCCCCGACGCCCAGGGCCCAGGACACCCGGGGCAGGTGGATCTCAGGAAGAGAAGAAAGCTTTAGGCCAGAAGAGTCATAATCATGAGAGTAACAATAATAAAAATAAGCACTTCCTGAGCATTTCTTTGTACGTGGCCTTATGATGTAGATACTGTTATTGTTAGCCACATTTTATGGCTGGAAATTGAGATTCAGAGAAGTTAAGGAATTTGCCCAAGTGTATATGGTGCCAGTAAGTGGTAGAGCCAAGAAGTGAACCCAAGGAGTGTGACCCTGGGGCCTTCATTCTTAATCATGTCACTCGACTGTCTCTCGGAACACAGGAGTGCAGAATCAAGCCTGTCCCTGGTGTGTGGAAGCCAGAGCTTGAACCTTTCAGTGGACCTCAGCCTCGTGCCCTCTATCCTCTCTTCCTGGGCCATCACTGACTCCTCCCTTCTCCCCTCTGCTCCTAGGGGCTTTTTCCCTGTCGCCTTCGGCTTCCTGGGCAATGTCTGCAACATCCCCTTCCTGGGTGCGGTAAGCAGATGATGCCTGCAGCCCTGCGGGCGTACCCTGGGGAGTGAGGGGGAGCACACGGAGGGGAGCTGGTAAAACTGCTGCCCCAGGGGCAGTGGCCTCTCCCCTGTCTCCCCTCAGACCCCCTAGCCCAGGTTTGGTGCTTTAGGCTCCTCTTCCCCCCGCACCTTCTCCATTTGACAAGAGCCCATGAGGAGAGGGGATCCAGACGCAGTTGTAGCTGAGTGTGGCTGTAGAGGCAGGTAGCTATGAATAGCTTCCTGTTTACAGCCAAAGAAATGAAGACGCAGAGACTCTAGGTGACTCAGCCAGGACATGCCTGAGATTTCTGGGGATCTGGCTAAGTGCGGGCCCCAGGCATGGAGAGAATGTATGACAGCTGATGACAGCAGGAAAAGCTGTCCTGCAGGTGGCAGATTTTGTCCTCTCCTGGGGATAGGCACAGCCACTGGTATCCAGCCCCTGCCCCTCCTTATCCCTTTCTCTGAAGCACCTGGCAGAATGTGAGCTCTCTGAGGAGCCCAGGGAGACCCTACAGCCAGCACCCCACCACAACCGCCAGCTGGACACAGCCCCTACAGCCCCTCTCGTATCTGCGCCTGGCACAGCTCCTGGCTCTCAAGGCCAGCTCTGTAATAACTAGATATTGCATCTGCTCTCTACCCTTTGTGTGGAGTAATGATTCTTGGCTCCCACAGCTGTTCCGGAGACTTCAAGGCACTAGCTCGATGGTCTGAAAAACAGAGATGAGCTCCTTGAACTTGGATCATTGGTTGAGGGGGCTAGAGGGAGAATGGGAACCACCCCCTCAGTCCCCTGCACTGACTCACTCCCCGACATATCCGGACCTCCCCAAGTCCAGAAGGAAGGAATGGAGCTGAGCAACTGACGTCAAATCCCCAAGTCGACTCAAGAGGCTGCCAGGAAGCAGAGATGCAGACCCCAAGGAGACTGGGCTGGGGCTGGTATCACACCCTCACTCTATATTTATGGGAGGAAAAGTGAAGATTAAATTCCCAAGTTGTGCGTGTGTCTAAGGCTCAGAGTTGGCGTCTTTGGCCGGGCGCGGTGGCTCACACCTATAATCCCAGCACTTTGGGAGGCTGAGGTGGGCAGATCACCTGAGGTCAGAACTTCGAGACCAGCCTGGCCAACATGGTGAAACCCCGTCTCTACTAAAAATACAAAAATTAGCGGGGCGTGGTGGCAGGTGCCTGTAGTTCCAGCTACTCAAAAGGCTGAGGCAGGAGGATCGCTTGAACCCAGGAGGCGGAGGTTGCAGTGAGCTGAGATCGCACCACTGGATTCCAGCCTGGGTGACAAAGCCAGACTCCGTCTCAAAAAAAAAAAAGTTAGCGTCTTCAGCCCATTAAGACCACCTCCTGCTTCAGGACAGGCCAACGTACACATCATCCCCACAGCGAAGTTTTGGTCTATGAGGGTCAGTGCTGTCCTCATAGGCTATCATTTCTGTCCTGGTGTTTAACAGCCCTAATGGGTGTGATAATAATATGTTTGCAATCCCCTGTTAACAGTAAGCATCAGACAAGTGAGGGGTGCTAACCTGCAGACTGCCGGCATGCTTCTCCAGCATTAGGGGACGACCAGGTTGAGCTTGTGCTGGGAGAGCGTCCTGTCTGAGGGTAGAGACATAGCCCCTGCCTTCAGAGACTCCCAGCCTGATAGAAGAAACAGTCTCTGCCCTGGAGAGCCCCTTGTCCAAGGGTATAGAGAGTTATTGCAGGCTCAAGAAAGAGACAAAAGTCACTTGCGATGCATGCAGTTAGCAAATATCTATTGAGGGCCCTCTCTGTATGTGCCCAGCAATGGAGTGGGTGCCAAGGGTACAGGGGGAAGGGGGCCTGTCCCTGTCCTCAAAGTGCTGTACCTGAGCAGTCACAAAATAGTATGGTGGTGGGTGCCACGAGACAAGAAGGTGGGGCCCCCAAGCAGGCTGTCTGGATGTGCTGCCACCTGGAAGTCCCCTCTCTGCACCCCTGGCACTTCCCAGGTGCATCCACCTTCTGCAGCTCCCATTTCGTCCTCCTTGCTCATAGCTGGTTGCTTACCTAAGGTCTCTGACCAGTCCATAGCCTATTCACCTCAAAACCCTGCGCTGAGGAAGCGCTCAGTGACCGAGGAAAGAAGGGAAGCAGGAAGGAAGGAAAAAGGAGAGAATCTCTGCCACCACCACCCTGTGCCAGTCACAGGGCGCAGTCTAGGAGCCGCCTGGAGACCCACGCTGACCTGGCTTTCCCTCAGAGCTGGGAGCATGGGATGTGAGGAGCCCCTGGGTCAGCCTGTGCCCTTCTCCTCCCCTCTTCCTGTCGTTTTCTACGTCTAATTCAGACTAGGTGTGTCTGTGGCTCTTCGGAGAGGAAACAAGACATTTCACACTGACACTTCTCCCCACCCTCCTCAGATAGCCCATTTCCACGTTGTTTGGGGGCAGGATGGGTCCTCTGGGTGGGAAGAGGGTGTGGAGGATGGAAAGAGCCGGTAAGAAGGAGAAAGTCCCGCCTCGGAGGGCTCGGGTGGGGCAGGAGGAGAGGCTGCCTCCAGTCACAGAGCCCGGAGGCAGAGGCCTCCCAAGGTGCCATGCTCTTCAGGAGGGTCTGAGGAGGAGGGAGGGGCGGCAGAGTGGGCCTGTGCTTGGAGACGTCACCCCGGGCTTTATAAAAGGGATGTGATCAGGGAGCTGGGGAGAACTCTTGAGACCGGGAGCCCAGCTGCCCACCCTCTGGACATTCACCCAGCCAGGTGGTCTCGTCACCTCAGAGGCTCCGCCAGACTCCTGCCCAGGCCAGGACTGAGGCAAGGTAGGCACACTGCAGTGTCCACCCCTGGGAAGGGGGTCTGCCCTGACCTGGGGATGCTCTGGAGGGGAGCAGGGAATCCGTTCTAAGACGGACAGATGCATCCAGGCAGGCAAAGGCAGGGGAGGGAGACACTGATCTTTCCTGTTTACCAGCCTGGCCAGATTATCCTGGGATGCCTGGGCGAATACACTGAGTCGCACTTTATTTGTGAAGCTAACACTCTGGGGATCCCGAGGGCTCTCTCTTGCTGTGGAAGGAATACATGCAATAAATAAATGCTGTGGCTGGAATTAGAGACCACAGACACGCTTGGATGGACCTAGGGAACCGCTCGGGGCTCTTGAGAGCAATGGGGCTCCTCTGAGCAGCTCCCCCCAAATTACAGATGGCAAATACAAGCCTAACCAAGGGCATCTACCTACCCACTAAGAACTAGGGGCCACTTCACTCCAGAAGCTTTCCAACCATGCCTGGAATTTCTGTCACTCACTGGATACAAACCCCCCAGGGTGGAGGGAACCACAAAAATTGTCTACAGCAGGTCGGCCACTCATGGCCCCTTTCCAAATAATTCATTTCTACCATATATGTTAAGTGCCCCGATGGGCTGGGCAGTGGAATCTGTGTGTGTGTGTGTGTGTGTGTGTGTGTGTGTGTGTGATATGTGTGTATGGGTGTATGTGTGTATATGTGTGTGATGTGTGTGCGCATGTGTGGTGTATGTGGTGTATGTGTGTGTATGATGTACGTGTATGGGTGTATGTGTGTATATGTGTGTGGCGTGTGTGTGCATCTGTGGTGTGTAGTGTATGTGTACGGGTGTATGGGTATATATCTGTGTGGTGTGTGTGCATGTGTGGTATGTGTGGTGTATGTGTGTGTATGATGTGTATGTATGGATGTGTGTATGTGTGTGTGTATGTTGTGTGTATGGGTGTATGTGTGTATATGTGTGTGTGGTGTGTGTGCGTGTGTGGTGTGTGTGCATGATGTGTGTGTATAGGTGTATGTGTGTATATGTGTGTGGTGTGTATGCGTGTGTGGTGTGTGTGGCATATGTGTATGTGTGTGTATGGGTGTATGTGTGTGGTGTGTGTGGTGTATGTGTGTGTGTATGATGTGTGTGTATGGGTGTATGCGTGTATATGTGTATGGGTGTGTGCGTATATATGTGTGTGGTGTGTGTGTGCATGTGTGGTGTGTGTGGTGTATGTGTGTGGTGTGGGGGGTGTGTGTGTGTGTGCTGGGGTCAGGCAGAGTTGTCCCATGGCGCACATGGTAAGTGCCATCCACAGTGGGAAGGAGGCACTCGGGGGGAAAGGGGAGCCGGAAGAAAGAGTACCACCCTCCAACCACACAAGCCCACTGCCCTCCTTCCTGGCCCACCACCCTGCTTCCGCACAGAGAACCGGAAATGTACATCTACCCACATTCCTGTCTGGCTCAGACCCCTCCAGGATGAAGCCCCTGCAGGGCCCCTTCCCCCAGCCTTGTCACTAGCTTTCTCTCCATGCAAAGCTCCATCCTCTTGTCTAGCTAGAGGGCCTGAAGTTCCCTTTGCACTCAGCCCCTGCCCTTGCTTCAGCGCCTTAGCACCGTCCTGGGAACACTTTCTGTAAACCTTTCAGCGATTCATGCTCAGAAACAGCTCAAGTGCCACCCCCTGCCAAAAATCTGCCTGGTCCTCCTAGGTTGGGTTCCCCTGGACTCCCATATCCCCTTGTGGATTCACATGCATCCGGTATGTCATTTACAGTGTTATTTTGAAATGATCTGCTGATGAGTTAATTTCTCATGCTAGACTTGAGATCTTGGGGGCAGCAACTCTGTCTTAGCACACCTGTGCACCCCTAGCACCTAGCACAGCACCAGCACCTAGTCGGTGCTCAAGGAGTGATTTCCAAATCAACCCAGACCCTGTGCATCCACGGTCTGAAATGCTTTTACACTATTCTCTCCAATGGATTAATCCTACCTCTACTCCGTGCCCCAGCCCTGGGCCTTAAGGTAAATGCAGAAAGCTGTGGTCTGGGTTTCAACTTGTCACAGTATCAAAGTCTGCAAGGATAAGTAAACTTCTGAGCAGGTGGCTGGTGGCCAATCTGATCCAGGGTTCTTATTTTATAGATGGACCAATGAGGTCTGGAGATGGGGGTGACTTGCTCACATTTCACAGGGAATGAAAGCAGAGCTGGGGCAAGATTCAAGTACTCCTCATTCCATTTCAGGGTTCTTACTCTTTACTCCATGCCTGAGTCCTGCAGGGAGCTGGGTGAGGAATGGGGGGTGGGGGTGTGGGTGCAAGAGCAGAGAGATGCATGGGCCTGAGCCACCATTAGGAGCTGATGGGCACAAAAGGTTCTCATCCCCCAGTCCCCCTTCCCCAGGGAGAGCGGCTCCAGGCTGTGGGTCAGGCCAGGACAATCTTTTTGCTCAGCTGGCATTGCTCCTGCCTCCCCAGCCTTTTGTCTTTAATCGTGTTTGTTGGACAGTCTCAAAGTGTCTGGTGACTTTTTCAAAAAGAAATTAGATTTGGGAGCCGGAAGAGGTAGGGTGGGGTATGTGGGGTGTCGGTGGGGCAGAGCAAGGCAGGGTGATGGGAAATGGTGTGAGGATCAGGGCACACGGCTCCCATCTCAGCAGCCAAAATGATGAGGCCAATTCAATTCATAGCCTCTTAGAGTCCACAAAGAATAGACTATGGAGATAACTGACCTGATAAATCAAGGAAAGGTTTTTCTTTTCCATGAATGATAGGCAATAAGACAATTTAATGACCGTCTTCAAGGCTGTGAAGGGCTATGAGAGAGAGCAAGATGATTGCCTCTTTCTTTCTTTTTCCTTATAAAAGAAAAAGAAATAAGTTTCTCTTACAGCAGGAGAGAACAAGGTCAGACTCAAGCGTATGGATGGGGAGAGTGGAACACAGAAAGTTGTGGATTTGTGCAGAACCCACCATGGAAGGAAGAAGTGCCTGTTGCCAGGCTCCCGAGAGAATATTGGAACCTCAAAGTTCCCCACTCAGTGCCCTGAAGTCCTTGCCCTACTTCACCCCTCCCCAGTCACTCCTATATATGGCATCTCACCCCACCTTTCTCAAACATTCCTCTCAAGCAACCCTGAGATTCAGAATCCTGGCCATTCTCTGACCCAAGCAGTCCTGCCCCTTCCACCAAATTGGGTCTTTCCTTTTTTCCTAACTTTACTGTCCTCACCTCCTCCAGGAAGCCCTCCCTGATGACCCTCACCTAGCATGAATTCAGCTTTAACTACACTGTGTAAAGAGTCTCAATCCCATTTCACTGATATATTTGTTTAGACTCATCCCTCTACCAGGAGCCTCCAAAGGCAAGAACTTGCCCCTCTCTTGGAGGACTGTCCCTTTTGCACTGGGCTCTGCCCTCAGCACCCAGCCCAGATCCTGTGCCTGACCTAGTCTTTGTTCCCTCTCTCTGTCTCAGCCTCAAGGCACTTCTAGGACCTGCCTCTTCTCACCAAGATGAACTCACTGGTTTCTTGGCAGCTACTGCTTTTCCTCTGTGCCACCCACTTTGGGGAGCCATTAGAAAAGGTGGCCTCTGTGGGGAATTCTAGACCCACAGGTATGTATCCTCTGGGGAAAGGAGTGGGAGGGAGCAAGTGGGTTGTTGCAAAATGAGCTTTCCCGTATTTTCCATCTAGTCGACTGGTGTGAGTTTAACATTGCATTTGGTGGAAATCTAAGACTGGCACACATGCAACTCATTGAGGGGGTCCTGTTAACCCTGCAAGTGACGGATGCCTTGCCTCTGTGATGGCCTCAGTCCGCCCACCTAGGTTCCAGGGCTTATTAACCCTTGAGCTCTTTCATGGTTTCCTCACACTGTGTTCTCTGCTCTACGTCAGCAACCTCTCTGTGCCGATGTTGAGAAGAAACTTCATATGCAACCTTGCTTTATCGGTGACCTCAGATTCTTTGTGGAGAATTTGGAAAAAAAAAAAAACCTAAACCAAAGGGCAGATATTTGATACCTATTAACCTTTTGGAGACAATGAACTGTCTCCAGTTCATTGGGGAACTGATAAGCTGGAAAATTTGAGACCCACAGAGGTAAAGAGATTTCCCCAGAGTCGCTCAAACACTGTGGAAACCCAGCAGGTGTCAGAGCTCCCCAGGAGTGTGTCTGGTGAGTGGCACAAGCTAGAACAATACTAGTCCCCAAGTCAGGAGCTGTGGCTTGGCACACTTCCTGGTGTCAGCTTTCTGGGCAAACTAGAACCCATGACTTAGCTTCTCTGGACCTGAGTTCCCCCAGCTATAAAACTTGGGGCATGCCCTCTACACATTTGATGTCATCGTATATGCCCATAAGACCTTCCAGAGCACAGAGGACACGGCCCCGGGTGTCGTTTGCCAAGCGTGTCTTCTGTCCTGGGATCAGGCGTTTTTCTGGGTGAGGGAGGCTACCCCAGAAAATAACCCCACACTGCCCAGGGATATAGGGTTGTTGGCTCTTTTTGGCAAAAGGCTTTAGGTGAGGTCACCAACAGCAGCCTGAACAGTGATTTACTACTGGTCTAGCGTGCGCAACTGGGGAGGAAGCCATCCTCCTCCTACCTCAGCCAGGCCCTGGGCAAGGGCTGAGGGACCTCGCAGGCGACTGCCATTAACTCTGGACCAGGTCCACACTCCTCTTTTCCAGACTGTGCCAGGGCACGGAGGAGCAGGGCTCAAAGCCAACTGCCGCCCCAGCACATCTATTCACACCCATTCACACACCAGGCCTCATTTCCACTAATCTCTTGCCGCAATGGGCTGGGGTTATTGTCTACACAGAGCTAGTTGCCCTATTTTACAGCCAAAAAGTACAGTGAACTTAATGAGCCTTGCATGTGAAGTGCCTTCCAAATTAGCCTTGTTAATCCTCAGAATGAAGGAGAGAAGTTATACCCAGGATGGAGGAAGAGAGCCAGTTAAGGTGACCTAGATAATTTTTGTTTCTCATTGAGTCCTTATGTAGCTTATTGGGCGGGGTTGGGGGGGTGGGTGGTCACAATTCTTATCAAAGACGAGTGTTGGAACACAGGTGTGTGGGGCCACAATGTCTTAGCTCCACTTTCTCGATTTCTGTTACTACACGTTTTTAGCTTTTATGTATTTAACAGGCATTTATTGAGGCCCCACTATGAGCAAGCCACTGTTTCAAGCACTATGAGAGATACAGAGATGAATTAACATGGCCCCACTGCCCAGGCTGCTCACAGCCAGGAAGGGGCCCAGAGCTGGGTGTTCAGCAAATACTTTGGTTTTCTTTATTTCCATGCCCTACCCTGTTTGTTTCCTAAAAGGAAGTAACGTAATATGAGAGTTATTTAAGATAATTCTGGCAAACATTCTAAATCAAAGCTATGTTGGAAGAGGGAGGCGCCTAGGGCCTAATCATCCCAGCTAAGGTGATCGTGCTGGTTCGCATGGCACTGAGCTCCGAGCTTCCAAAAGGTCAAGGAAGGAAAAGAAGGATAGGATGGGATGACAGGAGGTGTTGCAAAGCCATCTTTCCCGGACCCCGGCCTCATCTTTCTGTGCCCTCTGTCCTAGGCCAGCAGCTAGAATCCCTGGGCCTCCTGGCCCCCGGGGAGCAGAGCCTGCCGTGCACCGAGAGGAAGCCAGCTGCTACTGCCAGGCTGAGCCGTCGGGGGACCTCGCTGTCCCCGCCCCCCGAGAGCTCCGGGAGCCCCCAGCAGCCGGGCCTGTCCGCCCCCCACAGCCGCCAGATCCCCGCACCCCAGGGCGCGGTGCTGGTGCAGCGGGAGAAGGACCTGCCGAACTACAACTGGAACTCCTTCGGCCTGCGCTTCGGCAAGCGGGAGGCGGCACCAGGGAACCACGGCAGAAGCGCTGGGCGGGGCTGAGGGCGCAGGTGCGGGGCAGTGAACTTCAGACCCCAAAGGAGTCAGAGCATGCGGGGCGGGGGCGGGGGGCGGGGACGTAGGGCTAAGGGAGGGGGCGCTGGAGCTTCCAACCCGAGGCAATAAAAGAAATGTTGCGTAACTCACTGACGTGTGGTCTGCGGCTCATTTTTGCAAGCAGCTCTGATGAGGCTGTTCCCCTTCCATCCTCAATGGATGGTTAGCTGATTTCAAGAGGCCTCTGGTGTCATTAAGGTCAGTGCTTCTCACACTAGGTGTAATGAAGGAACAGGCGGTTAGTTCTCCAATCCATTGCAGATTGGTACTTAAAAAAAAAAATTAAAATGGATCACTGAAAATCTGAAAAATTTAAAAACAACAAAAGAGAAGACCAAACTGTATGCTGCTGGAATGTTTCAGCGATATCAAATTTCTATAAAAATTTCTGGAGATGTCCTCAGAATGCCCAGACTTATCTCCCTGAGGATGGGTGACATTTTGCAGAGGGTCATGGCTCACTGCCCACACTTTGAGTAGTACTGGGGGATAAGGGAGGCATGGGGGAGATGGACTGATTAAGTACCTTTCCCTTTCCCACGGAAGTTGGGCAGCTTGATCTGGAAGATGATGCCAATCACTGCCCTGTCCATTGAGGCTTAAATATCATCTGAGCCCCACAGTCAGACCCCTGCTGGGGTCTGGGATGCAAAGGGCATCAACAGTGGACCAGCCACTCACTCTTCCCCCTTCCCTCCAGGGAGCCAGGTTGGGTCTTTACACATATTGCTTTCCTTCATCCTCATAACTACCCAGGGTGATGGGAATGCATTAGCCCCATCTTTACAGGTAGAACCCTAAAGTCAAGAAGGATAAACCACTCGCTCCAGACACATCGGCAATGAGCTCCAAGCCTAATAGGTCTCCTGATACCAGAGCCTGTCTTCCCCACTGACCTGTCATGCCTCTCTGCCATGGCAGGGTTTCCATCTGAGTCAGCCAGGTGCAGATCAAGAAAGCGTAGCCTGCCTCATGGGGACTTACTTTGGGGTGCAATAGCTGGGGAGTAGAAATTGTGGTAGGAAGAAGTAGAGCTCGTCAGTGGGAAAACCCCAGGAAATCCACCCTCCTGCCGACAAGAAAACACAGCACTACTTAGCCTCGGGGTACCCCTATACTGCACAGTCTAGGATGAAAATGTTCTTTCCCAGAGGGATCGTAGGACCCGTCTCCATACAGTGAAGTGACACAGTGTTCCACCCACTACGGAAACCAGGACTCCACAGGATGGAGGCAGAGCTGTGTTGCTATGGCAATGAGATAGGCTGTCATGGGAACATGACAACATGCTCCCCCATCTCTACCCTTGAAACAGCTCTCCAGGATCTCCCAAATTATCGATACTGCTGTGAGCTCACATCATCACGCATCATGACAGCATGATGTTGATATTTAGAAGGGCTTTTTATTCCTAAACACTCTGGGGTGTGTCTCTGTACCTCTAGGAGGGCAATCATCAACTCAAGACCTATTCTATTAAGCATGCTGTTCTCCTAGCCCCTGGAAGCAATCCTTTATCTGATGATGGGCAGGAAGAAGCTGATGGTTTCCTGAATTCTGCTCTGAATTTTTACAAAACTTCCTGTGACCCCATTTACTCTTCCTCACAAGCTTAAGCTTGGGCAGATGGGAGGAGTGTGTGTGCCGCTTCAAGTGCGGGAGAGTGAAATGTGTTCTCTGGTGTGAGAAGCTGGGGTGTGTGTGAGAGGGCATGTATGAGGGGGGTCAATATAAGAAACTGCATGAAGTTCATATGCACATGCCTGTGTGACCTTGTGTATAGTGTGGGTTCCTCTAACCATCTTCCAGTCCTTGTCAGCACTGCTGCAACCCGAGGGTCCCCCAAGATCTCTCGTCTAGCTGACCAGAGGCCCTGCTTCAGCAGACAGCTAGAAGGGGGTTGAATGCCCATCCCATGCTTCTAGCAGCCTGAACTGCTACCTTTGAGACTCTGGGCTTTGCAGTTCTTGGCCTCGTGTCTTGGGAAAATATGGGGAGTCTCTGTGGAACAAAAGGGATTTCTGATTTCATGTGGCTCCCAGCCTGTGAGCCTGCTATCCAGATGGAAGGGAAGGAGAGGAGGAGATTGGAGGCTGTGAAGAGCCCCAGGGATTCCCTTCCCTCCCTCCAGCCTTTCTGGGTGGGCTCAGAGAGTGGGGCACCAGAGCCCAAACACTTGGAGGTAGGGCTGCCTGCAGGCACTCGAACCTACTTCTTCCTGGGGTCTCTGGACAGTGCCCAAAGGGGAGAAATCAGCAGGGCCTGGCATCCCTTGTGATTGGAAGTGGGAGGATCTCTTCCCAGGCTCCATCCCGTTTGGTAAGTCATTTACAATAGATGTGGGCTAGGAATTAGGGGGCAGGGGTGAGAGGGATGCAGGGAGATTTCTGCCTCTAGTATCGTTCTTATCACATTCATGAGCCATTTTTGAGTACCTGCAGCATGCCAAGCACAGGCCTACCTCATTTTATCCTGACAACTGCATGAGGTGGGAGTACAATCCTCATTGTATAGAAGAAAAAACTGAGGCTTGAAGAGGTTTAAGTAGTGTGCTCAAGCAGTTGTAAAGTCGTAGAGCCAAGAGTCAGACTCCCACATTCTAATTGCAAACACCATAAGCTTCCTACATACTGTAGCCTTTCCTTCTTCTGTAGCCCCTATGCCACTTAAGAAAGCACTGCCAGGTAGCAAACCCAACCCTTTTCCTGAATGATTTGTCTTGGGAAGCAGTCTGGCAGGCAATGTCACTCTATCCAACCCATCTGCAGTGCCTCTCCACAACACTAGTGACAATACAGACAAGTCACCAATCCCCAGGGCAGGTCTCCTCTTCTCAGACCACATGCCAGGGGCCAGGCATCTGCTCTTGCCCCTGCCTGCCTTCTCTCTCTGCCAGCAGCTTCCCAGGTCTAGAATTGGTCACAGGGAGGGGAAGGATGTCAAGTCCAAACAGTGTGCCCTTCCTCACCTGTGCCTTCTTCCGTTTTTCCATCTTCCATTTTAAAAGACATCAGAACCTATCATGGTTTCGTGCTTGGTGCAGAATGCGGAGCCTGGGGACAAGGTTTGCTTTTGGTTACTGGGGAAGCCAAGACACAACAAACAGCTCCCCACTTTCATCACCTTCTCAGGTTTTGCTTTCTTATGATTCCTTTAATATCTGCCCAATAGTCTTTACAATTAACCCTGCAGCATATTGCCTTCATAAAATGTTAAAAAGTACCACTTTGGACACATCTGTGTTTGCTCACTCCCTAAGCCCCTTAGAAGAAGCAAAGGAAGAAGAAAGGTATAAACCCTCAAGGACAAAGAGAAGGGAGAGGAAACCGGAGCAGATGAGAAATGTCAACAAGATTTTGAAGATGGAAATTGTATGATGGGCTTGGCAGAGAGCAAAGGAAGCTACAACCTGAAGCCAGCAAAGGGGGTTACCGACGGGACATGACTGATTCCTGCCCAGGACCAAGCCTTGGCATGTGGAAATGTCTGGTAGAGATGACACCTGGACTGAAAACAGGGAGACTGGCTGAAAATCTGCACAGGGAGGAGTTAGATTTCCCGACTCCCCTCCCGCAGCGAACACAACCAGGCTACTCCACCAGGAAGAGGCCAGACACTTCCTCTCCCAAGGACTGCAGTGGAGACACTCCAGTCATGGGGACAGAAAGCATAATCAAGATGTGGATAAAGAGTGGTTGAAGGTCAGGCGCGGCGGCTCATGCCTGTAATCCAAACACTTTGGGATTCCGAGGTGGGCGGATCGCTTGAGGTCAGGAGTTGAAGACCAGCCTGGCCAACATGGTGATACCCTGTCTCTACTAAAAACACAAAAATTAGCTGGGTATGGTGGTGTGTGCCTGTAATTCCAGCTACTCAGGAAGCTGAGGCATGAGAATTGCTTGAACCAGGGAGGAGGAGGTTGCAGTGAGCCAAGATTGTAACACTGCACTCCAGCCTGGGTGACAGAGTAAGACTCTGTTTCAAAAAAAAAAGAGAGTGGCTGAAAAGCAGGACCATGTGACAGTCTCTCTGGGTAAGCCCCCTCCCTCTCTGTGTGCCGGGAATGCAGGCAGCAAGGTATATATTCCCCAGGCGGGAGACCAAAGACCCCAAAGAAAAGACCTTCAGATGCTGACATTGGAGGGTGCCCCAGAAAAAAGCCAGCTTGGAGCCCCCAACTAGAGTGGGGTGCACCTGCGCATTAGTTCTGCCTATGCACTCTGAGTTTCTAGGCCCCTCCACCTGCTTCCCTCTTAACCATGAATGAAGTCAAGGAGTCACTGGAGTTTGAAGAAAACTTCGAGTTGGAAGAGTAGACCAAGCACACAAATACAGAGGAAACACTTTCTGCAGAAAACAGATACAATTTTTTATGTGTGGTTAAAAAAAAATTACAAAATGTCCCATATTTCCAAGTGTGGTGCTTTATACCTGTAACCCCAGCACTTTGGGAGGCCAAAGAGGAAGGATAGCTTGAAGCTAGGAGTTCAAGACCAGCCTGAGCAACATAGAGAGACCCCATCTCTACAAAAAACAAAATAAATTGGTTAGGCATGGTGGTGTGCACCCAATAGTCCCAGCTACTTAGAAGGCTGAGGTGGGAGGATCGCTTGAGCCTGGGAGGTCAAGGCTGTGGTGAGCCATGATCATACCACTGCAATGCAGCCTGGGTGACAGAGCAAAAAAGACTCTGTCTCAAAAAAAAAAAAAAAAAAAAAACGGCCAGTTGTGGTGGTTCACACCTGTAATCCCAGCACTTTGGAAGGGTGAGGCGGGGGATCTCTTGAGCTCAGGAGTTTGAAACCAGCCTAGGAAACATAAGGAGATCTTGTTTCTTAAACACAATGGGCCGGGCATGATGGCTCACACCTGTAATCCCAGTGCTTTGGGAGGCCGAGGTGGGTGGATCTAAGGTAAGGAGTTCGAGACCAGCCTGACCAATATGATGAAACCCATCTCTACTAAAAATACAAAAATTAGGCAGGCCTGGTGGTGCATGCCTGTGGTCCCAGCTACTCAGGAGGCTGAAGCAGGAGAATTGCTTGAACCCGGGAGGCGGAGGTTATAGCTAGCCGAGATCGTGCCACTGCACTCCAGCCTGGGCGACAGAGTGAGACTCCGTCTCAAAAAAAAGAAAAACAAACAAACAAAACAAAAGTGTAAGATCCCTGAAGGTATAAAAGAAAATTTTGCATCTATAAGACAAGTGCTGGATGCAGTAAAAACAGAAGTTATCAGAGAATCAGAAATGGCCTTTGGAAGTTAAAAATATGAGATCAAAATGTTTAAAAAAAAATAAAAGAATTGAAACATAAAGTTAAGGAAATCTCCTAGAAAGTAGAACAAAAAGAAATCAAGCAGGCATGGTGGTGGGCTCTTGTAGTCCCAGCTACTCAAGAGGCTGAGGCAGGAGGATCACTTGAGCCCAGGAGTTTGAGGCTGCAGTGAGCCATGATCACACCATTGCACTCCAGCCTGGGTGACAGAATGAGACTCTTTCTCAAAAAAAAAAAAAAAAAAAAAAAAAGGAAAAGAAAAAGAAAAGGAAAAAATCAAGAGATAAAATATAGGAAAAGTAGAAAAACAAACAAAAGTTGCAACATCCTACTTATGTGAGTTCCAAGAAAAGAGAAAAGAGAAAAATGGAAGGGAAGAAATGACCAAACAATTAATGCAGGATGATTTGCCAGAATGGAAGGACATGAATTTCCAAATTGAAAGGGCTCACTGAGTGTCCAGCTTATGAAAGAAAAAAGACCCAGGCCAGGCATAAGGAAAAGGCAGTGGAAGCCCCTTGGGATGAAACCATGGAAGGAGTTGAGAATCAGACTCATTCAAACAAGAAGATATGGCCAGGCACAGTGGCTCATGCCTGTAATCCCAGCACTTTGGGAGGTCAAGGTGGGAGGATCACTTGAGGTCAGGAGTTCGAGACCAGCCTGGCCAACATGGTGAAACCCTGTCTCTACTAAAAATACAAAAAAATTAGCTGGGCATGGTGGGTGCCTGAACTCCCAGCTACTCTGGAGGCTGAGGCAGGAGAATCCAGCCTAGGCAATAAGAGTGAAACTTTGTCTCAAAAAAAAAAAAAAAAAAGAAGAAGAAGATATTGGAAAAACCACTTCCAATATCAGAGAGAAAATAATTCCAACCTAGAATTCTTTTCACATTGAACTATCAAGAATAAGGTCCAAATGGGGATCTTTTTAGACATGTCAGGGCTAGAAGTGTTTACTGTCATGCACTCTTTCTCAGGGAGCTTTGGAAGCTCTATTTAAACAAACACATAAACTGAGAAAGAGCAATTCCCAGGCACCAGCACACAGAGATGTAGCAGAGAGAGGTCCCCAGGGCAACAAGGCAGAGCTCCCTGGAAAAAATCCCACTGGGCCATAAATTGGGTGTAAGACCAGGTGGGAAGGGGTTTGGAGGATCTCAGCAGAATATATAAGGTCAGGCGGGTGCAGTGGCTCACGCCTGTAATCCTAGCACTTTGGGAGGCCAAGATGGGCAGGTTGCTTGAGCCCAGGAGTTTGAGACCAGCCTGGGCAACATAGTGAAACCCTGTCTCCACACACACACAAAATACAAAAAAAAAAAAAAAAAAAAAAGCGTGGTGGTGTACGCCTGTAGTTCTAGCTACTCAGGAGGCTGAGGTGGGAGGATTGCTTGAGCCTGGGGTGATTGAGGTTGCAGTGAGCCACTAGTGCACCACTGCTATCCAGCCTGGACGACAGGGTGAGACCCTGTCTTAAATAAATAAATAAATAAGTTCATAGAAAAACAAGAAGTAGAAGAGGAGAGGCAATGCTAAACAATGAATATACAAAATACACAAGAAAGGAAATTAATCCATAATACACAGTGAACAATAATTATTTATTGTAAATATTGAGGTTGTTTTTGTTTTTGTTTTCACTTGCCAGACTATCCAAAACTTCAGTCTTGCCTTTTCCACCTTCAGAATTAGAAAGCTTAATGTTATCAATGGTGACTTCACAAGGGATGCTGTCATCTTCATCCTCAGATTCTGAACTCTTTACTTTTGAATTCGACTGGTTCATCTCAAACAAGACCATATCCATTTGTATAACTTTTCTAAGAGAACCATCAATATTTTCAATACTGAAACAACCAGGTGGTGAACCCGCCATTTATTTTCTTAGCTTTTCATGTGCCTGGGCCATCTGTGGGAGAAAGGTCTGTCGTTGGTCCACTAAGGGACTCCTCTGTGTCTGGACTGGTTGGAGAGTGGAGTTCTTTCTAGAATCAAGCTGGGAGTTGATGAGCAACCTGTCTGATATACCTCCTTGGCTGTTGTTCCCTACCGTCAGCCACTCCTTAGGCACCAAGGCTCCCTCTGTAGCAGTCCTGGGTGGACAACACAGAGCTTGAGCTGGCCTGGGGCTTGTGGTGACCTCTATGCCTCCTGCACACCCAGGCCCGAAGGCAGGAAAGACCTGAGTTTTGATTTTGTCAAAAACCAAGGGGTGGAATATGAGAGAAATTCTCATCTATCACAAAAGAAGAGTAATAAAAATGTGTAAAATTTTGGCCAGGCGCGATGGCTCACGCCTGTAATTCCCAGAACTTTGGGAGGCTGAGGTGGGTGTATCATCTGAGGTCAGGAGTTCAAGGCCAGCCTGGCCAACATGGTGAAACCCTGTCTCTACTAAAAATACGAAAATTAGCCAGGTGTGGTAGTGGGTGCCTGTAATCCCAGCTACTCTGGAGGCTGAGGCAGGGAGAATCTCTTGAACCCGGGAGGTGGAGGTTGCAGTGAGCCGAGATCATGCCACTGCACTCCGACAGAGCGAGACTCCATCTCAAAAAATAATAATAATAAATAAAAGTATATGCGTCACCTTTAGGAATATGAATGACCAACAATAGCAGAATAGTCTAGAGAGTTAACAGTCTTACCTTGGAGGAGCCAGGCTGAGAGCTGGGGGTGGGGGTGGAATTGGAGATTGCTGGTTTTCATTATAAGCCTTTTAGTTGTATTCATTTTTAAAGCTACAGCATATTTTTTTCTGATTAAAAAAATATTAAGTCCAGCCTGGCCAACATGGTGAAACTCTGCTTCTACTAAAAAATATAAAAATTAGGCCGGGCGCGGTGGCTCACGCCTGTAATCCCAGCACTTTGGGAGGCCGAGGCGGGCGGATCACGAGGTCAGGAGATCGAGACCATCCCGGCTAAAACGGTGAAACCCCGTCTCTACTAAAAATACAAAAAATTAGCCGGGCGTAGTGGCGGGCGCCTGTAGTCCCAGCTACTTGGGAGGCTGAGGCAGGAGAATGGCGTGAACCCGGGAGGCGGAGCTTGCAGTGAGCCGAGATCGCACCACTGCACTCCAGCCTGGGCGACAGAGCGAGACTCCGTCTCAAAAAAAAAAAATAAATAAATAAATAAATAAATAAATAAATAAATAAATAAATAAAAATTAGCTGGGCATGGTGGCTTGTGCCTGTAATTCCAGCTACTCCAGAGGCTGAGGCAGGAGAATCATTTGAACCCGGGAGGTGGAGGTTACAGCGAGCTGAAATCACACCACTGCACTTCAGCCTGGTGACAGAGCGAGACTGTCTCAAAAAAAAAAAAGAAGAAGAAGAAGAAAAAGAAGACGAAGAAGGAGAAGAGAAAAGAGGAAGGGAGGAGGAGAAAGGGGGGAAGGAAGGATGGGAGACGCGGGTGGGCAGGCAGGGAGGGAGGAAGAGAGAGGTCTGTTTTCTGGGAAATGTATTCTTGAGGTGCTGACAAAGAATTTTTGCTTGTCCAAATTTTAGTTATGCCTTTCAAATCTTCTGCTAGGTTTATCTGGGCACTTCCTTGTAAAATCCAGTTTTAGCAAAGAGCCCTGCTAAGTCAATTTAGCAAATAATCCCCACCCTCAATATCTGATCACCCTGGATATCTGACCAGGTTCCTCAGCCTGCACCATGCCACAGGTGATGTCTGATCACCATGGCCTGTCTGTGGCAGGAATCCTGTTACATGAGTTTAGCCAGAATGCCCCCATGCCCCTGATGTTTCCTCTTAGTAATTTTCATCCACTGACCCCACCATGCTCCTTGGCTTTACATTTTCACTTGCCCATGCTGTATTTGGAGTTGAGCCCAACTTCTCTCCCCAACTGCAAGAACCTGTTGCAGTGGTCCCTGTATCTATCTCAAAAGTCCTGAGTAAAGTCTGCCTTACTGTGCTTTAATAAGTGGCACTGGATAATTTTGCTTTAATAGTACAACCCCTGTCCCTAACAGCCATCCTCCATCCCAGCTATGCTTCTGCTGGTGACACTCAGCACACGAACCCCTAGCACTATACCACCCCTCTGTCACTCCCTACACACCACACACACACACACACGCACACACACACTCCACTGCTGTGCTGTCAAATCCTCCTCTAGAAAAGGAGCCTTCCAGCTTAACCTTGTTCGATAACAAAACAGACTCCTGGTGCCACTAAGGAAAAGCATTTTTCTATGTTTCTAGCTTTCATGCCTCAGGGTATTGATGTCTGGTTCCACCACATTGGGTGCATCTCATTTTAGGAACACCCTTCAATCAGGCTATCCCACCAAGCCCCCATCCCCCATGCCAATCCCCTCCTGCCCCAGGCCCCTACAGATCCCAAGACCTGTGTAACCTGCCTTCAATTTTCCTGGGTCACCAGTTAAACAGGCCTCAGGTTGGGATCACCCAACCCCATGGCTGAATACCTGTTCCTCTAAGGTTCCCAGAACAAACAACTAAGGATGCTTGGTTCTCCTCACTCCTACCCCTACCCCACCTCCATCCCAAGGTTCTTCCGTTCCTGCCCATCCCTTGCCCAGAGCTCTCTGAGTAATTATCCCTTCTGGAGAGTCTGCCCACACAAGGCAGCACTGGACGGTTACAAAACTCCATTCTGGGTCTTTCTTTCCTCTCAAGGCCACAGCTGCTCATCTCTACTAGTAGAGTTCAGCGCCCCATCTGATTGGTAAATTCCTCCAGAGCCAGCTGGAGTTCTCCAGCGATGGGGAGTGAAGCATGATGAGGGAAGGAGGACAGGTGGAAGAGAGACGTGGCCATTTGATCTCACCGCTTGCTTGCTCATTTGCTTTTGTTTGTTTTGAGACAAGGTCTTGCTGTGTCACACAGCTGGAGCGCAGAGGCCCAGCCACAGCTCACTGCAGCCTCGAACTCTTGGGCTCAAGCTATCCTTCCTCCTCAGCCTCCTAATTAGCTGGGACTACAAGTGTGTGCCCCCATGCCTGGATAATTTTTTAAAAATAGTTTTAGACACAGGGGCTCTCTATGTCACCAAAGCTGGCCTTGAATTCCTGGCTTCATGCAATTCTCCCACCTTGGCTTCCTGAGTAGCTGGGATTACAGGCATGAGCCACCATGCCCAGCCCCATTTGCTTTTTAATGAATTGAAGCAGGACTGGCCAAGAGATGATTAGCTCCCAAGCACTAAGCCTCAGTGAGTCCAAGTTCTACCTCTTTACCACCACCCCCTGGGCAGGGGCCATGATAAGAGTTTTCTACTAAACTGCTGATACCAAGAATAAATCCATGCCTGTTTCGCAGCAGCACAAACCAGACTCTTCATGCTACCCAGACTTCCCTCCCTCCACCCTCGACCTCCCCTGACCACTCCAGCCTTGGTCTCAACACCTGAATCTCCCTGGGCTCATTATCATGGAGGAGAGTGGGATTTGGGGTTTTTAAGAAAAAACCCTGAGCACCACTTATGTCCTGAGAGATTTCCAGAGGTTGTGGGATCTGAAGTAAGATGAGAGGGCTGGGATCTGACTGGATTTATGCTTCCCCTGCCTGGTTCTCACGTCCCAGCCCTGCCCCGCTGGGAAAGGGCTGGGGCAATATGACCCTTCCCTCTGCCCCCACCCACTCCACTTCCCTGAGCGAGAGGTGACGCAGCCCAGGGCTTTTGCGTAGCATCCTGGCGAGCCTTTGTGAGAAGAACTGGACCCCGGGCAGAAGGGGGTCAAAAGATGACCTGATAAGGGTCCTCATACTCTCTCTTTTCCATCCCCAGCCTGGGACTCGGGAAGGCCCAAGTTCAGAGGGGAGGAGAGGCTCTCCTGGCAGCTTCACCTCCCCTTCTGTATTTTCCCCCACCTGTGCAGCAGAAATGGGAGAGTTACAGGTCAGGCCACCTGGCAGTCAGGACACACCAGAGCTGGACAGGCACAGAGTCAGCCTGGCCCTGTCCATGGCAGGGAGCTCCCTGACAGTTGAGCACCTGGGCAGGACTATCCCCAGGTAGGGGAGTTCACCGCCTCAGAGGGCACTTGCCCTGCTGGGCAGTGTGAACCGCTGGACAGTTCCTCCTTAGAATGGAACTCAAACAGATTCTCCCCATCCCGCCACTTCTCATGAGCCTCAGATCTGCATTGTGGGCACAGAAAATAGGGCTGGTTCTGATTCCTTCCAGGGCCGCATGTGTGGCTTCTCTCTTCCAGCTAAGCTTCTCCAGGGCCTTTGGCCAACCTTCAGGACATGGTTTCAGGCCCCTTGCCTGTCCCAGCTCCAGACCATGCATGGTCGTGCTTAGCTGTGTTGCCCATTTTCTGATCTCGGGATCTCTCCTCCAACTGTTCCCCTCCCAGGCTGTGCGCTGGGGTGGAAACCAGGAGAAATAAGACAGAGGCTGTCATTTTGGACTCTGTTACCCTCTTAGAAGTTGATTTCCTTGCCTGCCCTGTGGTCTCTGCAGATCTTGTCTGCAACTTGCTTGCAGCCTCAGAGTGAGTTAGCAGAGTCATTGTTCCACTTCTCTCTCCTGGTGAGGTTATTCATGCTTCATAGTCTCACTTGTATGCACTGCTGGGCTCAGGACCACATGGGGGTCATGGTGCTGCATACATGGTGGGAGGCAGGGGATAGATGTGGGAGTGAGGACATGTTTGGTTGGAGAGTGCTGGGTCCCCAGGGGACCTAGATCTACTGGTAGCTCAGGGCTTCACATTGCCTGCTCTGGACCTCCTGGCTCTGCCTTTGCTGTTGAAGAGTCCGGAAACTTAATCAAAAATAGATGTGAGGGTTCTGCTGCACTGTACTGGGTGTCTAAACTATACTAGACGTGGGGCTTAGAAGAGCTCCCCTTTCCACATAGAAAAGCTCTATGGGGTTGGATCACTCTCTACAGATTCTTCTTTTGAATCCCATTGGCTCTCCCAGTTGTTCCTGACACCCATAGCCACAGAGAAGGAGTCACAAAGTGAAGCCCTCAGCTTGTCCTTCTCTAAGCTCTCTGCAGCCTCAGTGGCCTCATCTGAACAGTGCAGATGATAGTTACCACTTCATAGGGCTGCCTAGAAAACAAAATCCAGTAGTGTTCAAATCACCTCATAGCACATCATAGATGCTCAAGAAAGTTGGCTGGTGTTACTCACATTCTGCTGCAGCCCCTAGGCTGACCCCATCTCTGACAGTCCTCCAACTTGTTCTCTCCCTGCTCCTTGCTCCCTTTCCTCTAGGGTTTGCTGAGAGCAGAGGGAGAGAAAGGGTGGGTGGTCAGTCACCCTTGCTGGCTATGACAGGTTGCAGTCATGGTGGGAAAGGAGACAGCATCACTCTTAAGCACTCTCCTGAGATTCATGATGGACACTCCTCCAGCAACGCAGGGGCCCTCGAGCTCGAGGTGGAGAGAAGTGAGATTCTGGGGCAGGGCACCCACCCAGGTTCAAGCCCAGCAACTGTACCCATGAGCAACACAGGATATGGTGCAGGAGAGATGCAAGTCCCCACTCTGCCACTTACCATCTGCAAATCATGACACACTGCTTAACCTCCTAGGTCTTGGCTTCCTCCTGTTGGGGAAACTGATCCACTCACCTCCCAGGCTGATGTGGACACTGGGAGAAGACCCTCTTCCCTTCAGGCCCTGCTTTTTTGCCTTGGACCCTCCACACACTCCCTGCTGTCATTACTGGACTAGCAGTTCCCGCCCTGTCATTTATCAAAGACTTTGGCTCCTGATTTACAGACTTCCTCCACCCCTTGCCCTCTGCAACCTCCTGATGACATCACCAACCACGCAGATGGTGACCTGGCCATACTGGCCTCTCAGATCCTTGGGGCCCCATTTCCAACAACCTCACCCCTCCTCTACTTCAGCTATCCACAGCCACGTCCTACTTGGGACTTATCACTTATAACCACTTCCCCTCCAGACTATCTCAAGCATCCCATGCTCAGCCAGCTCGTCCTCCAGCTTTGTGGTTCAACTGTTCCCACCAGCCCTGCTCACTCTTCTCAATTGCCATGGTCCTTTGCTTCCTTCCAGATCATCCATTCTGTCCTGTCTTGACTTCTCTAGCCACCTTACATTCCACAGTTTTTCATTCAATAACAGTTTTTGTCGTTGTTGTTGTTGTTGTTGTTGTTTTGAGACAAGGTCTCACTCCATCACCCAGGCTGCAGCACAGTGGCAACAATCACAGCTCACTGCAGCTTCAACCTCTTGGGCTCAAGCAATCCTCCACCTCAGCCTCCCAAGTAGCTGGGACTACAGGTGGGCACCACCATACCCCAGTTGATTTTTGTACTTTTTTGTAGAGACGAGGTCTCACTATGTTGCCCAGGCTGGTCTCAACCTCCCAGGCTCAAGCAATCCTCCTGTCTCGGCCTTCCAAAGTGCTGGGATTGTAGGCATGAGCCACTGCTCCCGGTCCAATAACATTTTTGCTAAAACCTTAAATTCCTTTGTCCCTCATCTTTGATCACCCTAGCCCTGGATGAAGCCAGCTATATACTTTCTCTCCATCTGTATCCAAGGAGCTGACACTGTGGTATTGGTAGGGGGAGACAGAGAACCAGGCCAACTGGCTTCCTTTAAAGTCATGATCTCCAGCCATTAAATGTCTTCATTCCTCACAGAAATCCTCTTGGTTTCCCTGGCCACCTTCTTCCCACTTTCCATAATGATTCCAGAGCTTCTCCATTTTTCTCATGCCTCCAAACCCCCTCCCATCCCCAACTCTCAGCAGAGGTCCTTGCTTCCTACTTGTCAGAGAAGATAACAGCCACCAGACAGGCAGTCCCTCAGCTTCCAATGCCAAGCAAATCAACCACTAACACCTGCACATGCCTTGCCTTCTTTCCTCCTGCTGCAGTGGAGGGTCTGCTCCATCCTGCTGTTTCCCACCCTGTATACTCCTTCCCTCCCAGGAATCCTACTGCGTTAATTAACTCTTCCTCTCAACTGAGTGCTTTCTATGCATTAAATATACTCAACTCCCTCCCATCATTAGAAAAGATTGGCAGTGCAGCGGGATAATTAAGGAATCAGAGAGACCGAGGGGTTGAGGAGGAATTATTTAATTATTTAGGTGCACCGACCCAGTCGGATTAACATCTAAAGGACTGAGCCCCGAACAAAGAGTCAAGCTACCTTTTAAGCATTTCGTCAGGGAGAGGAGGAGGAGAAGGAAGGAGGGAAGGAGGAGGAAGAAAGAGAAAAACCTCTCACCTGGTCCTCGTTCTCCTCCAGTTATCGTCACCCTCTTTCCCCTTTTTTACTCCTCCACTTTTCAAAATAGCTGCCTACACTATGTTGTCTTCATCTTCTTACTTTCTATCCTAGTCTGTTCAGGCTGCTATTAAAAAATACCATAAACTGGGTAGCTTATAAACCACAGAAACTTATCTCTCACAGTTCTGAAGTCTGAGAAGTTCAAGATCAATGCATTGGCAGATTTGGTGTCTGGCGAGGGCCTTTGTCCTGGTTCATGAGTGGCATCTTCTTGCTGTGGCTCACATGGTGGAAGGGGAAAAAAGAGCTCCCTTGGGCCCCCTTTATAAGGGCATTAATCCCATCAGGACTTAATCACCTCTCCAAAGGTTCATCCTCCTAATACTATTATATTGAGGGTTAGAATTTCAACCTATGAATTTTGGGGGACACAAACATTCACATCGTAGCACTTCCCATCATTCATCAACCCATCCCTGTGTGGACTCCCACCCCTCTGAATCACCAAAACAGCTCCCACTGACAGCACCAGTGGCCCGCATGTCTCCATTTTAACCCAAGTCTCACCTCACCCTGCAGCAGCACCTACTGTCCCTCACCATCTCTCCTTAAACAGTCTCTCCCTGCAACTTCAGAGACACCTGCTGCTCTCCTCCTTCCTCTGTGGCCACTCCTTTGGGGTCTCCTCTGCAGATTCCTCCTCTGCTGCTTGTCC
This sequence comes from Homo sapiens, assembly GCF_000001405.40. Lineage (NCBI taxonomy): Eukaryota > Metazoa > Chordata > Mammalia > Primates > Hominidae > Homo > Homo sapiens. Next base: position 204,175,227 of record NC_000001.11, on the reverse strand, counting down.
TTAAAGCTTAGAGTCCAGGGCTTTCTTGCTGCTCACCTTCTCCCTGGCTAATTTCATTCATACCTGTCGCATTAATCACCAATTGCAAATAACACATAAATCTTTCACCCGGGTTTATTTATGCACCTGCCATTTGATATCACCCCTGGGATGTCTCAAAGGAGATCCATACTCAACAGTTCCTCAAACTTATGGTCTCTCCAACCCTCTTCCCCTTCTGAAATCCTCGTTCTCTTCCATCACTCTATGTACCCAGAGTGCCTCCAAAAACCAATCTCTTCCTCACTCTCTATATCCGATCTGTCACCAAGTCCTGCAGATTCTATTTCCTAAATTTCTCTCAAATCCATCCAATCTTTTTCATCTTCACCATGCCCAAGTACCCTAGACCAAGCTAGTTCTAGCACCATGACCTCCTAACTGGTATATGCCATGCTATTCTGGACCCATCCCCACTCCTTGCTAGTCCACACTGCAGCCGAAACACATGCAAAACACATCTAATTACAACATTCCCTTCTGTTTTTTTTTCTTTTTTGAGACAAAGTCTCGCTCTTGTTCCCCAGGCTGGAGTGCAATGGCGCAGTCTTGGCTCACTGCAACCTCCACCTCCCGGGTTCAAGGGATTCTCCTGCCTCAGCCTTCAGAGTAGCTGGGATTACAGGTGCCTGCCACCACGCCCAGCTAATTTTTGTATTTTTAGTAGAGACGGGGTTTCCCCATGTTGGCCAGGCTGGTCTTGAACTCCAGACGTCAGGTGATTCGCCCCCCTCGGCCTCCCAAAGTGCTGGGATTACAGGCGTGAGCCACTGCACCTGGCCCATCAGTCCCTTCTTCACCTGTCTGCAAAAACATCTAATTACATTCATTCACTTCTTAATGGGTCAACAGCTTCCCATGGCTCTTAGGGTAAACACAGAACTTCCTAACATGGGATGCAAGAACCTTTATGGTTTGACACTCAGCGCATCTATGTACTGGGTTCTGGGCCACACAGCCTAAACTTACTGTCTGACTCTGGCCCTTATTGCCAGTGGGACCTTGGGCAAGTTACCTTTTGAATCCTCTTGGGCCTCAATGTCCTCATCTGTAAAATAGTGATATAATGCTACAACCTCATATGGTTATTGTGAGAATTAAGTGCATTAAACACCTAGAGTGGTATCTTGCACATAGTAAGTATTCAGTAAGTGTTAGCTCTTTCAGCTCCTGCCTCTGGCCACATGTCTCACCCCGCTCTCTCTCATCTCTCTGTTCTTGATATGTTGGCTTTTTTTGTTTTTATTGACATCATCCTCTCTCCACAGGGCCTTCGCACGTTCTGTTCCTGCTGGGACTCTATTTCTTTGTCTTCAGCTATTCATTGCCAATGCAGCCTTCAGATCACAATGCGAGTATAATTTTGGGTGGGAGGGAAGCTTCCTGGAGTTCCCTGACTGGCACTAGTCATCAGCGCTATTTTATATTTATGCATGATGATAATAATCTATCTCTTCCACAAGACGGTGGGATCCATAAACAAGAGCAGAAACTGTGTTTATTTTTGTGAACTTTGTAACTCCAGCATCTAGCAGAGTGCCTCACATTATAATAAAGGCTCCATGAATATTTGCTAGTAAATGAAAGAGGACTGAAAGAGCAATTTAGGGGTGCTTCATAAATGTTCATTTATTCTGACAAGATACCCCTACCATGAAGGATCTAAAAGTATTCCCCTGTCCCCAAATAATTCCCCCACTCCCAACCACAGTTCCTGAAAAATCACCACTAGGGTCCATCGTTTGGAAAGGGCCTTATCATCTCTGAGGTCAAAACACATTAATTAGCCAAAACATTAGCCACAGAGATGAGCTCCTCTCATTGTCTGTACTGCCCACAGCTGGTGTGGAGCTGGTGTAGAGGGCAGTACCCTGGAGGCACAGAATATTAGAATATTAGGGTATCAGAGCATGAAGACACCCTTGGTGCCATCCAGCCATCTGCTTCACTGTACAGATTTGGAAACTGAGGTCCAAAGAGGAGAAAGGAGGGATCCAACATCACATAGCAAATTTATGGTAGAATGAAGACTAGGATCCAAGTCCCTGACCACCAACCCAGGGCTCTTTGCACTGCCCATTGCAGTTCACTAGTTCATCCACTTAATAAATATTAAGCACCACTGTGGGCAAAAATCATATTCATACATACATAAAGAACTCTGCTGCAAAAGCAGCTAAGTTGGTGCTGTCATAGAAGGGCTTGTAGCCATGCTGTGGAAGCCTACAGCAGAAAGCAGTCAATTCCAGGCTGAGTCAGGGCCTGCTTCATGGAGGAGGGGGTAATATTTGAAGTGGGCCCTAAAAAATAATCAGGGAAAAGCCAAGATAGGCATCTTAGCCTGAATAAATAGCACTCATCCTGGGATTTAGGGACCAGATGTCTGTCTGGGGAGCTGTACTTGACTGCTTGTAAAGCTACAGGGAAAAGGAAATGAGGCAGAGAACCAGGGCCTAAAAGGGAGTTAGAGCCAAGCAGAAAGAGGAGAATAAGTTGGAAGATCAGCTGCCCTACCTCTATTTAGCAGAAGCCAAAACCCTGAAGACTGCCCTTCTCTCCCACCCTTACTAGGTCAACAGAGGATAGACAACCCCCTCCTCCCCCAGCTCCCTGCTTCCAGAGGATTATGTAACCAAATCCAAGCACACACCACTCACCACACAACAGCAAGTAAGCTGAGAGGTAAGGTGTTGGGGCAAAGAAAGCGACCCTATTCAGAAAACCAAGAAGATGGTGGACTAGCGTCATAAAGAACCATCTGAAGTCAGCATGACTTTTAGGTTACTTTTTACATTTAGGGGAGGGGGAAGAGGAAGAGGTTGGGATCAAGAGGTGACTGATGACCGCAGACACCTGGGTGCCAGCAAGGGTCTGAGGAGTATGTAAAAGTTCTTTTTTCTAGGTCAGGTCACAATGTTCCTATAAATCTTTAACATAACATTGTTATTTCTCTGTATTCTTCCTTATCTCCTTGGGGCTTAGTTTGGGGGAAAGAGCTGTTATCATTTTTTTAAGTTGAACTGCAAGCTAATCTATAATTAGCTGGTCTGTGTACAGAGCTAAGCAGAAGCTTTTAACCTAAAAGATATTACCCCTGGGGGTCAGAGGCAAAATGGAGTCAGTCATGCTAAGCCTCCCTCCACTATTTCAATTTCCCCATTGTCAAAGGTTCATCCCACAGTCTTGTGGGATTGGGGAAAATGAGACATCATTACTCACCTGGCTACTTCCTGCCAAACAGGGTTGACAAGGGGTGACTATGGAATGAAACCATTTGACCTGGCTAAGGAAATATTTCGTAGTGCCATTTTTAGGAACAATGATCATCGGCATTTCCCTTTTTGCTTTGATAGTTTTAGCGAGACTTGCACAACCTTTGTTTACACAGTACATAATAAGTTTTACTAGAACGTAGGCCACCATGACTAAAAGAAGAACATCAAGGCTGAATTTAAGAATGCCTCCCAAGATTGATGGAATTACACTAGGAATCCAGGAGAATAGGTCTTTAAAGCAGTCTCTGTAAGTGCCCCCAGATTAAGCCTGCTTTGGTGTTCTAAGGTTTGTTAAAGCCAGGTAGCCTGTTGTCTAATTGTATCAATATGGGTCTGTAGAGGAGGAATTAAGCTAGCAACAGGTGGCTAGCTTAGGGACGCCATTTGGTAAGTAGAAAGTAGGCTTGCGGCTGGGCGCGGTGGCTCACGCCTGTAATCCCAGCACTTTGGGAGGCCGAGGCGGGTGGATCATGAGGTCAGGAGATCGAGACCATCCTGGCTAACAAGGTGAAACCCCGTCTCTACTAAAAATACAAAAAATTAGCCAGGCGCGGTGGCGGGCACCTGTAGTCCCAGCTACTCGGGAGGCTGAGGCAGGAGAATGGCGTGAACCCGGGAAGCGGAGCTTGCAGTGAGCCGAGATTGCGCCACTGCAGTCCGCAGTCCTGCCTGGGCGACAGAGCGAGACTCCGTCTCAAAAAAAAAAAAAAAGAAAGTAGGCTTGCAGGCTTGTGGGTCCTTATTATTGCTTTGCATGTAGTGTCTAATGAGGTGCTGCATAAGAAAGAAACATGGGGCCTCTGGGTATGGAGTTATCAATTGGATCCTATGTATGATTTGAGAAACCAGCTTCTATAGATCTAATGCCCAAGAGGCTACATGACTAAAATTATGTGTACAGGAACAACTAGAGGATCAGAGTGGTCATGTACTGAACAAGGTTTAAGATGACAAATCTGGCAGTGTGATATGCTAGTGAAAGAGGCAATAGATTGAGAAATCCTAACTCAAGAGTTGTCTTGCCAAGGAAACAAAAATCTCTAAAGGACATGCAAGACACATAGGGGATACATTTTCATTGTACTTATCTTTTTGTGAAACAGTAGCTTTCGGTCTTTCAAGTGCTCACAAGCCCACTGTTTTCCTGGTTTCCGGATTAGTGGGCTGTCTTCTGGTGGTACTGCCTTGACCTGAGTATAATGTGCACATGGCTTTACTCCAGCAAGTTTAACTGATAAGCGTGTGTTCACCAGCAGCTCAAATGGCCTTGTCCACTTGGCAGCAAATTGGTGTTCAGGTCCTTGTTCTTTCCAGGTATTTAGGAGGATCTAATTTCCCAGTTGAAAAGGATGTAGGACCACATCTGCTGGATGAGTGGTCCTGCTAGAAGCAAACTCATGAACAGAAGTTAGTATAGTGCCTAGAGTCTTAATATTTGGTAATTGCCAAATCTCTTAAAACATCAGTTGGTTCTCCCACCAGGACAAAAACCTAGAATGGGCTACCAGATAATACTTCAAAGGGGCTCAATTTGAACCTACTTGAGGGAGCCACTCGAATCCACAACAGCAATCAGCAACATCTTATCCCAAGTCAAATTAGTTTCTTGATATATTTTGGCAATGCTTCTTTTTAGAGTATGGTTCATCTTTTCAGTTTTTCCCATGGATTGTGGTCTCTAAGATGATAATCTAAAGGTTTCAGGAAGAGACAAGTCACAGCTCCCCTGACACTCCTGTCACCATCATAGATAGTCTTTGAATTAAGGTAGGTGGGTATTAACTACAGAATACGTTGCCCCTGTATCAATAAGAAAGTCAATAAGTTTGTTCCCCACTGTCAATTTTACCCAGGGCTCCTGTGGGACTATGACAGCAGTTGGCTAAGCATACATATTCAATGTATGTATGTTACAGAAGAAGCTACGAATATTTATGAAGGTGATCCTGACACATGCGTATTGTACAAACATGCATGTTACATATGACCCATGTTTACCTTGAGGTGAAAGCGTAACATTTAAATGTACTACAATTAGGCCCTGTACATCAAAAGGTCTTTTCAGAACACAAAGGCATGCAAATGCACAATCTCTATAACTAGCTAGAACCAGTTCATGGCCAGCAGTCTTATTATCAGGAGAAAATTAGTGAAATCAGTCTTTTGTTCAATCAAAGCTATAGTTATGGCTGGTGGAACTGGGGTTCAGTTAGTCAGCATCTATGAACTGGATGAGTTGAAATTGTTTTAATATTGCTTGTCTTAAGGCCAGTGCTTGCTTAGCTGCTAGAGAAAAAGAGAAACCTTGTGTCATTGAGAATATAGCTTATTCTTTAAGTGTAAGGATGCATGACTTAACTCTTGCCTGGCATGGCCTTAGGTCCTGTTTATAATATGGTATTTTATTGCCACAAAATTTCAGTTATGTCAGTCTTATGACCTCTATTTTAACATTAGTGTTGATTAGTTATTGTATCTAAACCACAAAAGGGAGAGGGTATAATGAGGCGTATCTGACTTCCCATCACATTATACCTGAAGACTAAGTTTTTAAGGTTTTTCTGGGGTCCCCTTAGCCAAGAGGGGGTCCATTCAGTCAGCAGGGGGCTTAATATTTTATTTTTAGTTGACATTCTCCCATTTGGCCAAGATATACCAAAGGCAGCATAAATGGCCAAACTTTTATTTTGTTCCATATTGTTGCTGGGGGTGTTGTGGCTATGTGCCCCAGGTCCATCACATCCCTTGGTAGGATCCCTGTGGCTAAGGAACTCAAAGCCAAAAGACTTGTAGTCAATTAAACGTTTTAGGCCATTTGGTAAGGGAGGTGGCCAAGCATTCATTAACCCTTAAAACCTTTTAAGTAACATAAGAGCCAAAACCAAAAGCCAAATAGCAAAGGTACAAAACTGACCTTTCTATAAGTTCTATGTGTTGAGCCATCAGCTGTTTAGGCATCTGTGTACCTATATTTGGAGGATCTGAACTAATTTTACTCCTTAAAAGTAAAATTAGTACATCAAAAGGTGTTTTGTGCCCACCTCTTCCATGAGCGTCCTTGGGCCCAGAGGGATTTAATAGTTTTTTAAATCCTGGAGATATTAGGTACAGAGAGAAAGGTAAACCCAATTTCTATAAGCTATAAATAGCTCAAAAAGAAAAAAGGCGGGCCAGGCGCAGTGGCTCACGCCTGTAATCCCAGCACTTTGGGAGGCTGAGGCAGGCAGATCATGAGGTCAGGAGATCAAGACCATCTTTGCTAACATGGTGGAATCCCGTCTCTACTAAAAATACAAAAAATTAGCTGGGCGTGGTGGCACGTGCCTGTAGTCCCAGCTACTTGGGAGGCTGAGACAGGAGAATGGTGTGAACCCAGGAGGTGGAGCTTGCAGTGAGCCGAGATTGCGCCGCTGCACTCCAGCCTGGGTGACAGAGCAAGACTCCGTCTCAGAAAAAAAAAAAAGGCTTTCTTGACTCTGGAAAACAAAACATAAAGAATTAGCAACATTTCAAACTTAATTTAGGATTAGATTTTGAGGACATTTGTCAAAATGTTAAAGCCTCAAACCATTTGATCAAAACAGAACCGCCGGTCTTTGTAAAATAATAATTATTCATTTCACAAAAGTGATAATTAAAAGACTTTAATAGCAATACAGAAAGTTACATGAATATAAAGACTTAACCTTTCTAAAGCTCAGTTTTCCTAAGTAATCAAAAACCTGATAAAGATAACAAGAATGAGGAATTATCTTGAGAAAATGTAAAATCTTTCCTTTTATTTTTTGAGACAGGGTCTCACTCTGTCATCCAGGCTAAAGTGCAGTGGCACAATCATAGCTCACTACAGCCTTGAACTCCTGGACTCAAGTGATCCTCCCGCCTCAGCCTCCCCAGTAGCTAAGACTACAGGCACGCACCACCACACCCAGCTAATTTTTTTCAGAGATGGGGTCTTGCTATATTGCCCTGGCTGGTCTTGAACGAGCTTCAAGTGAGCGTGAGCCTCCTACCTCATCCTCCCAAAGCACTAGGATTACAGGCATGAGCCACTGTTTCCCAGCCTAAAATAATTGTTTCTTAGGCCAGCTACCAAAAACGCAAAGAAAAACTTTCTGTAGTGTGATTGCTTCTTCTTATGGGAAGCCCATTTAGATAACCTGTAAGTCAAACCTGATGAAAACAATACTTGAATGTAATCAGACACAGAAAGACTGTTCAAGGCTATGAGTAGCTGAGTCCAAGCTCGTATCACTTGCCACACAACAGCCAATAAGTCTAGAGACAAGGTATTGTGGCAAGGAAAGCTACCTTATTCAGAGAACCAGAAAACCAAGAAGATGGTGGACCAGCATCATAAAGAACCATCTGAAGTCAGCATGAACGTTAGGCTCTTCTTTATGTTAAGGGAAGGGGAAGAAGAAGGGGATTGGGATCAAGAGGTGACTGATGACCACAGACACCTGGGTGCCAGCAAGGGTCTGAGGACGTTGTAAAACTTCTTTTTTCTAGGTCAGGTCACAATGTTCCTATACATCTTTAACATAACATTGTTATTTGTCTGTATATTTCCTTATCTCCTTGGGGGTTAGTTTGGGGAAAGGAACTGTTACCATTTTTTTTAAAGTTGAACTGCAAGCTAAACTCCTATAATTAGCTGGTCTATGTACAGAGCTAAGCAGAAGCTTTTAGCCTAAAGGATAATACCCCTGGGGGTCAGAGGCAAAATGGAGTCAGTCATGCTAAGTCTCCCTCCACTCTCTTTCTTTTTTGAGATGGAATTTCACTCTTATTGCCCAGGCCGGAGTGCAGTGGCATGATCTCAGCTCACTGCAACCTCCGCCTCCTGGGTTCAAGCAATTCTCTTGCCTCAGCCTCCTGAGTAGCTGAGATTACAGGTGTCCATCACCACACCCAGCTAATTTTTGTAGTTTAGTGGAGATGGGGTTTCACCATTGTTGGTCAGGCTGGTCTGGAACTCCTGACCTCAGGTGATCTACCCACCTTGGCCTCCCAAAGTGCTGGGACAGGTGTGAGCCACCATGCCTGGCCCCTCTACTCTTATAATTAAACCAGCTGTTGCTTTTCCTGCCAAGAAACCAGTCATGAAGATTCACCCATGTTCTAGATGGGAAAACTGGGCTGTAGCCTGGGAGAGGCCAGTCAGGGACAAAGCCAAAGTTAATATAGAGAATGGAGCTTCCAGGGTATAGGGGTTGGGTCTGGGCTAGGGAGCTGGAAACCTAGGTTTTACGCTTGTCCCAGTTTTGATGTTAGCCCTGAGCAGTGCTGTTTCTCATCAGCCTCTGCCTGCTCCAGGGGTCACAGGGCCAAGCCAGATAGAGGGCTGCTAGCGTCACTGGACACAAGATTGCTTTCCCACAGCTGTCCTTCCTCCAGCCCCTCTGCTCCCCATCCGGAAACCTGGGTACCCTTCACCCACCTAGCTCTGTCCCGCAGTGAGATTTATTGCTGACTGCCCTGCCATCTACCCCAGGGTAATAAATCAGGGCAGAGCAGAATTGCAATCACCCCATGCATGGAGTGTATAAAAGGGGAAGGGCTAAGGGAGCCACAGAACCTCAGTGGATCTCAGAGAGAGCCCCAGACTGAGGGAAGCATGGATGGATGGAGAAGGATGCCTCGCTGGGGACTGCTGCTGCTGCTCTGGGGCTCCTGTACCTTTGGTCTCCCGACAGACACCACCACCTTTAAACGGTAATTGGTAACTCAGGCAGAGAAGGGGTGGGAGGGGTGCAGGGTTCCCACCTTCCCAACACCCTGGCTTTTCCACATGCGGTGTCATTCAGTCCTTACGATCAGCTGGACAGGGAAGTATGGACCTGTTCAGAGAGGTCAAGTGACTTGCCCAATAAATGACACTAGTAGTCAGGTCTAGAAGCTGTGACTTTTGCTTCCTGCCCAGAGCACCATGCTAACTAAGCACTGTAGAGAACTCAGAAGTATTAGGACATGCCCCTTGCACTTGAGGAGCTCACAGCCTGAATATTAAGAAGGGCATGGGTGGTTGGGCGCGGTGGCTCCTGCCTGTAATCCCAGCACTTTGGGAGGCTGAGACGGATCACTTGAGGTCAGGAGTTTGAGACCAGCCTGGCCAACATGGGGAAACCCCATCTCTACTAAAAATACAAAAATTAGCCGGGCATGGTGGCAGGCACTTGTAATCCCCAGCTACTCGGGAAGCTGAGGCAGGAGAATCGTTTGAGCCCGGAAGGTGGAGATTGCTGAGCCAAGATCGTGCCACTGCACTCCAGCCTGAGTGACAGAACAAGACTCCATCTCAAAAAAAAAAAAGACGGGGGTCGGGGCATGGGTACAGTTAACTGTACCAGGGAAGCAGCTTGATATCGTGGTTAAATGCAAGGCTTATAGAGTTAGATTGCCTTCATTTAAATTTTGCTTCACTAGCAGAACAAACTAGGTCTGGAATCATGGGCAAGTTATTTAACCTCTCCAAGTCTCAGTTTATCATTTTAAACAGGTATGATAATAACAGTACCTACTTGATGGGGCTGCTTTGGGGATTTTAGGAGATAAGGCATAGAAAGCTGGGCACGTTGTAAGAGCCCAGCTACTGTTAGTACTACAGGATAGATTCTTACAAATATCAAAAGCAAGGTTTGGCCGGGAGCAGTGGCTCACGCCTATAATCCCAACACTTTGGGAGGCCGAGGGGGGCAGATCACCCGAGGTCAGGAGTTCAAGACCAGCCTGACCAACATGGAGAAACCCTGTCTCTACTAAAAATACAAAATTAGCCGGGCGTGGTGGCACATGCCTGTAATTCCAGCTACTTGGGAGGCTGAGGCAGGAGAATCGCTTGAACCTGGGAGGCTGAGGTTGCAGTGAGCCGACATAGCGCCATTGCACTCCAGCCTGGTCAACAAGAGCAAAACTCAGTCTAAAAAAAAAAAAGAAAGAAAAAAACAAGGCTTTAGGTAGCCCACAATTAGAAGGAGAAAACCTTAGCATCCCCTAGGTGCCAGGCCTTGTGGGAACAAGTGATTCATTAAGACTGTAGAAGGAAGCTGGGCACGCGGCTCATGCTTGTAATTCCAGCACTTTGAGAGGCTGAGGTGGGCAGATCGCTTGAGCTCACGAGTTCAAGACCAGCCTAGGCAACATGGTGAAACCTTGTCTGTACAAATACAAAAATTAGCTAGGTGTGGTGGTGCAAATCTGTAGTCCCAGCTACTCGGGAGGCTGAGGTGGGAGCATCACTTCAGCCTGGGAGGTGGAGGCTGCAGTGAGCAGAGACTGACCCACTGTGCTCTAGCCTGGGTGATAGAGCCAGACCTTATGTAAAAAAAAAAAAAAAAAAAAAAAAGACTGAAGAAGGGGAAGAGACAGCATTTGAGAAAAGGCCTCACAGAGAAAGGGGTTTTCAATCTGGGGACAGCAGATATGACCAGCAGTCCTGAAGGTAGGGAGGCACACTTTAATAATGGTAATAGTTGCTAAGCCTATAAAATGCTTAGGGTGTCACAGGATCTTTTCACATGTCTCATCTCAAGTCATGCCCCCAACAACTCAGCATTCCCACTTTGCAGATGAGGACACTGAGGCTCAGGGAGGTGATATGTAAGAGGCTAAGCCTCAACACACACTGGGCCTTTTGCTTCCGAAACTGCTTTCCCTTGCTCTGAGGCTCTCGGAGAGTAATTGCTGGGTTGTGAGCACTGGGTAAGAGGATGGGTGCTTCAAAGCAGCTGCACTCCAGGATAAAGGTAGAGGAAAGTAAAAACATCTTCCCCTGCTGTTATCCAAAAGAGAAAAAGAATGGAATTGGGCAAGGGGTGGAGGGGGAATCCAGCTTTTGAAACAGTATTATAGGAATTTTGCTACCCGCTATGTGCAGAGCATCATGCGAGGCACTTGGGACAGCTGAATGAATGAGCTCCATTCTCAAGGTGAACATGTACATATACACACCTACAATTTACATTTATTGAGCAGTGGTCGCATGGTTTCATCTGCACAGTGACTCTGAGGTAGGTACTACCATTAGGCCCATTGTTAGAGAGGGGTTAATGGAGACTTAGAAGAGGCCCAGAGAGGTTAGGTAGCTTTCTCAGAATCACATAAGTGGTAAGGGGATTCAGGCATGCCCCCTGCAACCACTGTCTTCACCACCGTACGGCACCAGTTCCACAAGCTGTACAGTGTGGGCTGTGAGACCCAAGGAAAAACAGAGCTGAGGCCCACGGGAAGGTGAGGCCGGTGTGGGCTGGAGGCCTTGGGGTAAGCTTCCTGGAGGTGGGGGTACATGTTGGGCCTTGGAGGACTAAAGAACTGGGGGGAAAAGGAAGGGAAGAAGGAAAGGATTTTCTGAAAAGGAAATGGCAAGAAGTAAAGGTCCAAAGCATAGGCTGTTGTGAGTAAACAGTGGGAAATGCAACCTCTTTGGGGCCAAACCTCTGACCCTCCACGTTCCCAGCTGTGAAGTGGGAGTAATAAAATCATCCACCTTATGAGAGCAAATAAAATAATGATTGTGAAAATATTTTGGTAACAGTAACCTGTGATAGGAAGATAACAAATCATTTCTGTTACAATACCATGCTGATAGGCATAAAAGTTGCATTCATGTTCATGGGCAAAATGGGGGTAAGTAGAATGCATGGGACGCAAGAAGGATGTAGGAAGGAAAGGGTAGTGTGAGTATAGGAGGACTAGCCACTGAGAAGAAAGTAGAAGAAAGAGGGAATCTTTGTGTGTATGGGAAAGTCTATTGCAGAGTCAACTTGGGCTTCCATCCTGGGACCTTCCCGTGAACAGCTAGAGACATCTTCCTCTGGGCTTTGGCAGCCTTTATGTCGGGACCCAGGGGACCCTATATGGGAAATAGGGCCAGACACATGCTCTGAATCCCTGCTTCAACATTTCTGAGTCACCTTTGTCCCTGTGAGCCTTCATTTTTCTCATCTATAAAATGGATGACAGCTAGCTTGTTGGTGTGATTTCAGTAGCGGCTCAGTAGAGTCAGTTTCCTAGGTCTCTTTAATTCTGCCTCTCAAAGGTGATGGGAAAACATCTAGACAAGAAGCCAAGGGACCGGGACACATCTCTCCAAGGACGAGGTGCATGGCGCTCTGAAGATGCTGGCATCTCTCTAGGCCCAACCCAGCTCAGGGGGTCCACTCCACCACAGCCCTGGCTGGGTGCCTGTCCCCTGGTATCCTGGAGACCTTGCAGCTGCTGTGGGCATCTGCTGCCACCTAGCGGCCTCCCATGGCACTGTCTCCCCGCCAGCCCCTAGTTTTGACAGGGGCACTCCCTGGCATTAATCTCTTCAGAGGGAATGTCTGTGCCTGTTTCCTGTCTGTCCTCCCGCCAGGTGGAGTTCCTTAAAGGCAGTCATGATCATTATCTTTCTAGCTCCAGTGTCCAGCACAGTGAGGCACAAAGTAGTTGTTCAGCAGGTGATTACGGAATAAATGAATGAACGGACCAATAAACAAATAGCCTTGTCTAATCAAAATTAGGCAACAGAAGGAAGTCACTTCAGGGTTATTTAATCCCCGGGCAGCTGACTCCTCTAAATTGACTCTTGACAAGAAGTAACTCTTATAAATGCTCCAGAGGCCCTCAGCGACAGAGGTGATTTCCAGGTGGCTGGGCTAACGTTAAAGGTGGTTGTACTAAAAGCAGGGGTTTGGCCTCAGGGACTCCACCACTGTGGTGGAGGTACAGCACTTTTCTATTTTTGCTTCCTCCACCCTGGGCCAGGATCTTCCTCAAGAGAATGCCCTCAATCCGAGAAAGCCTGAAGGAACGAGGTGTGGACATGGCCAGGCTTGGTCCCGAGTGGAGCCAACCCATGAAGAGGCTGACACTTGGCAACACCACCTCCTCCGTGATCCTCACCAACTACATGGACGTGAGTGCTTGGCTCAGCCCCTCGCTCCCTCCCTGTCTCCTTTCCCTCATGGACCTAGGGCTTTCTTTGCTGCAAGACTCACCCTTTCCAAGCTGTGTTTGACGAAGGCGCTGAGTAGCACGTGAGCACCCTAGAAAATTCCCATTTTCCAGCTGGAAAGCCTGAGCACAGAAGACAGGAAGGCATCCAGGGGCCATTCAGGGGCAGGGTTAGGTTTGGAACTCAGCCCAGGCCTCAAGCCAGGTGTCACAGGTGGGTGGGAAGGGGTGTGTGACTCAGGTGGGGGTTTCTGTGACCTGGCCCAGCACAACCTGATGGCTTCCTGCCCCAGAGGATCCTCAAGAGTCAAGTTTGCTTCCTGCTTCATTCTCAATGTTTTGATTTTGCCCTCTTGTCTTACTGAGACTCCCACTTTCTGGGATGCCATGGGGAGATGCTAAGCCTCCTACCAGTTCCTGCAGGAAAATGGAAACCCCGAGAGGCTATAGGACCTCGCCTGGGCCAAGTCTCACACCGAGAGCCAAGAGTGAAGCCAGGCAAGACCCCAAGACCCAAGGTCCCCTGAGCCCCTCCAGCCCTCTCTTTTTACCCCCACAGACCCAGTACTATGGCGAGATTGGCATCGGCACCCCACCCCAGACCTTCAAAGTCGTCTTTGACACTGGTTCGTCCAATGTTTGGGTGCCCTCCTCCAAGTGCAGCCGTCTCTACACTGCCTGTGGTGAGACCTAAGACCCACAGTGCCTCTCCTCCATCCCCCTGCCCTACTGTGCATGAGCAATCCTGCCCAACACCCAGCTCCCATCCCTCTTGCCACCAAGGGAGTGGCTTCCTCTCTGCCTCTGTGCCCACTGACATGTAGGGGAGAGGGGAAGATGTCTCCCGTTTTTCTGATACAGCCACCAAGGTTAAAAACAAAAAAAGGTCCAAGAACCCCTGAGCACCCAGAAGGCCACTTCCCAGTCTTCCTGAGATTGAGACAGGACTGAATTCTCAAACCCATCCCAGGCACTCGGAACTCTTCCATCCCTAGTCTTAATCAACAACCTCTTACTAGGCACTTACTCTGTGCCTGGCATCTTCTCTGGTGTTATCAGTGTTAGTGATTACTTTAAATTCCTTCATTTAGGACAAAATTCTCGATGTATGGGCACATTAGGAGAGCCCAAGAAACCCAGTCCTTGATTGATGAAGCACATATTCCAAGCCCCCTGACCCTAGGGCCACTCATCCCTGCACCTAAGCTAACCAGCCATACCCACAATGCACCCTGCCTCTGAGTCCCCCTGTCTGGGCCACTCTTGGACAAACCTGAGCCTCTGTCCCCCTGCCAGTGTATCACAAGCTCTTCGATGCTTCGGATTCCTCCAGCTACAAGCACAATGGAACAGAACTCACCCTCCGCTATTCAACAGGGACAGTCAGTGGCTTTCTCAGCCAGGACATCATCACCGTAAGTTGGGCCGCCCTAGGTCATCTGCCCCGGACCCCTTCTGTCCCCAGGCCTCTCCTGACCCTCCAGGGCCCACACCTGCGGGGAGGTACACTGCAGCCCACTTGGAGCCTGGGGAGCTGAGGAACACCCTACTCTGCCACATCTGGCTGTTGCTGCAAAGCAGCAGTACCTATGGGGGAGCAAGCCTGGGCTACGGGCTCACCGTTGGGTGGTTTGTGGATGTTTTTGCATCTAACTTGCATGTAGGGCTTGTCCTGAGCCCCGTGGCTGCAGTCAAGTAACTCGTCCAAGTTCACCAGCTCTGACTGGGCTACACCCTAGACTGAAATCCAGGGTCAGAGTCAGGCTGAGTTTTAGGGTCAGGCATAGGTTTTAAGGTCACAGTTGAGGTTGACTCTGGGACTCAGGTCAAGGCCTGCTTTTCTTTTCCATGTGGCCCATGTCTGACCGTTTCCTCATCCTGGAGTTTCTCAGGCCCTGCTCCATCAGAGTTAGGGGAGGGGCACACGTGGCACCTGAGAGGAAATCAGGGTGATTCCTGCCTCCCTTCCTTTTTCTGTGAACTCAGATATAAAGGAGGGAGAAGGGCAAGCTTGTCTGTGCTAAAGAAACCCTTCGCCCATGATAAGGGTGGGGGCCAAGACCCAGTCCTGCCAGGCACGAAAGTCTGGCCACTGGGGAGGGGAGGAGCTCTTGGCAGCTTTTCTTTTGCTGCTTGGCAGGACCACCCTCTCAGCCTCTGCTCTCCGATCCCTGGTCAACTCTAGCTCTCTCTGGGCTCCGCAGCAGAGATGTGTATTGGCACAGAGTGTGTGCGTGCAGGGTTGAGGAAATACTCTTACCCCGATTTCTGTACCCTGGAGCATGTGTGCCCCTGGGATCCCTAGTGTGGAAGCCCAGACCAGACTCCAACCAAGGAGTGGGCAGTGGGCTTGGTCTCCTCTGGTCCTTCCTCCCACAGGTGGGTGGAATCACGGTGACACAGATGTTTGGAGAGGTCACGGAGATGCCCGCCTTACCCTTCATGCTGGCCGAGTTTGATGGGGTTGTGGGCATGGGCTTCATTGAACAGGCCATTGGCAGGGTCACCCCTATCTTCGACAACATCATCTCCCAAGGGGTGCTAAAAGAGGACGTCTTCTCTTTCTACTACAACAGGTGGGGACTGGGACTCCAAGGGCTGAGGTGGGGGGACAGGAGGGGAGAAGAGATGGGGAGTGGAAGGAGAGTCTGGGCCAGAATTGTAAAGTGTTTGTAATTAGGTGACAGCCAATCAATATCTAGAGCTGTACTAGCCAATATGGAAGGCACTATTGAAATTTAAATTAATTAAATACAGTTAAGCATCAATTAAGCATTCAACTGGTGGCTCTTAGTTGTACTAGCCACACGTCAAATGCCTGGCAGCCACGGTGGCTAGTAACTACAGTCTTATGACAGTGCAGATAGAGAATATTCCCAGCATGACAGGACATTCTAATAGACAGCGCCACTCTGGAGCAAGAGGAGATGCAAGGTGGGGGCGATGGTAAATAAGGGATTACTGTGACCTGTAGCCCTGCCTGTTAGGGCCATGGCTCCTCCCACACAGAGACAGCCAACTTCAGTCATCCATTAGATCCTTCATTCGTTTGTTTGCTCACTCATCAGTTCAGTAAATGCTATGTGCCAAGCACTGTGGTAGGCTCTGGGGGTGCAGCAGTGAACACAGTGAACAAGGCAGAATCTGTACTCCCCTACCCACATAGAGCTTACAGGCTAACAGGGAAGACAAGACATATTCCAACATAAAGAGTGTCACAGGCAGGCAGCAAGTGTGGTGCTGAAAACCATGGATGCTTTTCAATTCTAGGCTGAGCTTATATGCAGCTCAGCCAGCCTTGGGGAAGCTCTTGAGCAGGGTTGGGCTCTACTCCAAACTGCTGGGCTTAGAAAGATGGCATGAGTTGGAGACAAGAGAGCTGGAGGCAAAAGGGGCTGGGTGCAGTGGCTCATGCCTGTAATCCCAGCACTTTGGGAGGCCAAGGCGAGAGGATCGCATGAGCCCAGGAGTTAAGGCTTCAGTGAGCAGTGATTGTGCCACTGCACTCCAGCTAAGGCAACAGAGTGAGATCCAGTCTCAAAAAAAAAAAAAAAAAAAAAAAAGTCACAAGGGTAAGAACATGAGGCCAGTGGCAAAAAGAATAGAGGAGAGGATCAGAGTTCAGAGAAATCTCACAGTAAAATGGAGAGGAGTCTCCGGTTTGGTGATAGAAAGTGAGGCCTTGAGAAAAGGCCAATTGGCGGCTCTGCATTCAGGGGTGGTCTTTAGAAGAACTGTTTTAGAGGAAGTGGGGGCAAGGCCAGATGGCAAGAAGTTAAGAGGTGGACGACGTGGGTGTCAGGAAGTGGAGGTCATGAGATGTAGGCTGCCCTGGGACATTCAACAGGGAAGGGAATGGGGGGTGGCGTGGGGGGTGAGATCCAGAAGCAGAAGAGGAAGGGTGGGTGTTTTTAAATGCTAGAGGATGCTCGAGTGATGCCTGTAGGTGGAGGAAGAAGCCAATGGAAAGAAAGAGATTAAAAATGTGGAAAGAAGAGGAGCTAAATGGGGGCACTGGAGTTTGGAGGCCTTGAAAGAGATGAGGTTCCAGCAGACAGGAAGAAGCCAGGTTTTGCAGAGGAGAGGGCTGGCCTCTTCTTTTATCTTGGGATGGGAAGGAGGGAACATCCAGAGAGATACTGAAGTGTTGAGAGACAGGCAGGAGGGAATTTGTGCTAGCATATACACATACATTCCGAATTTATAAAAACACAAGTAGTTTGCAGTTGCACAAAATAACATATGCACACCTACACACCCATGCACACATGTGCATGTGTGAATTCTAGTATGAATTCTGGAAAAACACATCACACACACAGGCATGCCCTGGAGACTAGGCCTACAGTAGTCCCTGAGCCAAGTGCAGTGAGGAGGAAAGGAAGGTGAGGGGAATCAGCTCCAGACGGGGCACCAGGAGCCTGGCTCCAGTCCCCCACTTGTTCACTCATGGACTGGGTAACTTCAGGCAAGTGACTTCGCCTCTTGGTGACTCCATTGCCTGAAGGGCAAAGAGAGTACATAACACCCACCCTGCCAAACAGCAGGGCTGATGAGGCTGGCATGAAATGAAGCTTCCTTTCTGCTGTCTCTCTTTCTCTGCAGAGATTCCGAGTAAGGAGACAAAACCCCCACATGGCTGTGACCTTCCAGTACTCCCCGAGCACCTGACCTAGAATTACACACGCCACCGGCCCAAAACTCACATCAGCAAGCCCAGCCTCCGCTAGATGCCGAAGTTCTCTGTCTCTCCTTCCTGCTCTCTCCATGCCACCTGCCCACCCCATACCCAATAGCCTCCCCAGGGTCCCCTCCCATGCACCTGCTCAATCAGCAGCAACCCAAGAGTGAGGGGTGTCCATTTGTGTCTTGTTCACATCCACTCACTGTCCTTGTACCTGCTCCTTTTCTGTGACCTCTCTGGGGATGCTTTTTGGGGGAACAGCTGGACTACCCTGGAACAACCTCTGGTTGGTCTTGGGGAGGGGAAGAAAGGCAGAGAAGCAGTATGTTCTGCATGCTTCCCAACGACAGCTCCGAGCCTGGCTGTCTGTCCCACATTCCTCTGCTCTAGAGCCCTCTGTCCTCCCCTGCACCCTTGTGCAACCTTCCCCAATTGCCTGAGTTGCTGGGTCCTGGAGGTTATGGGTTTCCAAGAGCTTCTGATCTTTCCTTTAGGAATTCCCAATCGCTGGGAGGACAGATTGTGCTGGGAGGCAGCGACCCCCAGCATTACGAAGGGAATTTCCACTATATCAACCTCATCAAGACTGGTGTCTGGCAGATTCAAATGAAGGGGTCAGAAATCCTCAACCCTCCCCGGGCTCCAAAAAATGCTGCCGTCACTGGGGTTGGGGAGGGTGGGGAAGGACTGCATTACCATCCTGCCCTCTTTCCAAATGCAGCCACTTCTTAAGCACAGCCACCATTTGCTCTCTGCCTGCTCTGTCCAGGCTGGGGAACAGAGAAGGGAGGGGCCTGGGGAGAAGTGGTGGAGGGTGACAGTACCTTCCCTCCTCTACTCACTGCCTCAACAGGCCACCAGCGTGGCCTCCACCCACCCACCCACACTCAGGAAGGACATGCAGCCTGGAGGTGCCCCATCAGCCTTCTGTCTGTCTGTCTGTCTGTCTGTCTGACTGTGGCCTCCCCCAGGGTGTCTGTGGGGTCATCCACCTTGCTCTGTGAAGACGGCTGCCTGGCATTGGTAGACACCGGTGCATCCTACATCTCAGGTTCTACCAGCTCCATAGAGAAGCTCATGGAGGCCTTGGGAGCCAAGAAGAGGCTGTTTGATGTAAGAAGCCAAAGAGGGAAGGTGCTGTGGGTGGGGGGAGCGCCACCTGGTATCGGCTCACAAATCCCCCAGGCAAATGAGGCCATCTCAGGCCTTCGCTTGTTCACCTCACACTCTCCACACATGTGGCTGGTCACCCATGGGGCGGGGCACTGTCCCCAGCCCTCTCCAGCAGAGAGACCAGGCCACCAGCGCAGGACTCCTTGTCTGCTGAGACGTCTTCCATACTCAAGAAGGCTCTCTTTGCCCCCCACCCCAGTATGTCGTGAAGTGTAACGAGGGCCCTACACTCCCCGACATCTCTTTCCACCTGGGAGGCAAAGAATACACGCTCACCAGCGCGGACTATGTATTTCAGGTGAGGTTCGAGTCGGCCCCCTCGGTGGCAGGGAGAAAGGCTGGACAGAGACCCTCAAAGAGTGACAGATTACAATGCACAGGTCATGTTAGAACTGTAGTTCTCAAACTTGGCTGTGCATGTCACCTGGAGAGCTTTGAAAAATCCTGGTACCTGGGCCACATCCCATACCTATTAAATCAGAACCTCTAGAAGTGGCACCTGGGGTTCAGTTTCCCCAGGTGATTCCAATGTGTGGCCATGTTTGGGCATCACTATGCCTGTTCCCTCATCTCCATTTTCTCATCAAATACTCCCAAGAATCCTATGCTCCTATATTCTTACCCTCTTTTCATAATCAATAGGCTTAGAGAAGTTGAATAACTTGTCTAGGATCAGAAGCTAAGGCAAACTGTAAGCTCCTGAAGGAAGCACGGTGCCTGATGCATTGTTTGCCTGGGATCTAGCACAGGGGCTAAACATAGGAGTGGTGCAGTCCACGATGGGGCAAAATGGCCATGATGTGAGGGAGGCCCAGTGTGGCTAGGGGAGAGATGGGGGCGAGAGGGGGAATGTTGCTGAAGACAGTTGCTGGGGGTCAGGCAAGGTGAAAGGAGAATGCTCATGTGCTGGGTATGGAGAAACTCTCCCCCTTCCTGCCAGGAATCCTACAGTAGTAAAAAGCTGTGCACACTGGCCATCCACGCCATGGATATCCCGCCACCCACTGGACCCACCTGGGCCCTGGGGGCCACCTTCATCCGAAAGTTCTACACAGAGTTTGATCGGCGTAACAACCGCATTGGCTTCGCCTTGGCCCGCTGAGGCCCTCTGCCACCCAGGCAGGCCCTGCCTTCAGCCCTGGCCCAGAGCTGGAACACTCTCTGAGATGCCCCTCTGCCTGGGCTTATGCCCTCAGATGGAGACATTGGATGTGGAGCTCCTGCTGGATGCGTGCCCTGACCCCTGCACCAGCCCTTCCCTGCTTTGAGGACAAAGAGAATAAAGACTTCATGTTCACAGCCTGTTGCATCTGGGTTCACTAGGGTTTAGAACAGAGGGAGGGGCTGCGTGATCATGTGTGGACAGGAATGTGACACAGACAAGCTACACATTCGCCTAGCGCACAGGTTCTTGCGTGCAGGGATGATGCCATCCATCTGCCATCAACGGGACTCAGGTGGAGCTGTTTACACAACCTCAGGTGGGAAGTCTGAAAAGAGCCGGAACCAAGCTCCCTCTAGTCCCTCAGGGACCAAGGCTAATGCTGTGGCAGTAGACTGTGGGTCAGAAAGTTCTCCCAGCTCACAGAAGCCAGCTCTGAGTTCAGACTCTGCTCTGCTGAGCTAGTCAGCCCTGTCTCTTGTCCCTGCAAAACTCCCCTCAGCTGTCCTTATCCACTGCAGATGCCCCCGCCCTGCCCCATGTAGCCATTTACACAGGCATTCTAAGGCACTACCACCTAAAATCATAGAACACCAGAGATCCAGGCAATACTTCCACTTTACAGGTGGGGAAACTGAGGCCCAGAGAATGGAAGGCCTTGCCCAAGATTACTCGGTCAAGAATCAAGTAGTGAAGAATACTGAAAGATAGTGAAGAATCAAGACTGGAACCCAGCCCGTCTGACTTGGGTCCTGGGGGTTTCCACCTTATCATAAGCAGTTGGTACCGTCATAAGTACAGTGCTTCACGCACGCTGGTACAGGGCCACGTGCACAAGCACACAGGTGCACACACACACTGCTATCCTCCATCCCATCCACCTGGGACTCGTCAGGCTGAAGTCTCTTCTCCCACTCTCACTCCTTGGGCTGTCTTCAGGGCACATGTAACTTGGGGAATGAGAAATTAGCATCCACCTGGAGCCACTGAAGCCATCCCTCTTCACCATAGTTGCTCACCTCTCTTTTGACAGAAAGTCGTGAGGCACTGAATGGCCCAACCAGGCCCTCAGTACCTCTGGGAGCCATCTGCAAGAGTCCCTGTGTAGCGCCAAGAGCCGGAGCCTGGGCTTCAGGACCCTGGACTCCCACTGATTCTCCATGTTCCCTTGTCCTGCATAGCTGTACTTCCTCACTGCAAAGGAAGTGTTGGTGGCCAGTGTCTTTTCCAGCTCCATCCTGGAGCTCCAGGACCTTAGGAAGGCAGGCACGACCCCCATTATCTCCTTCACTATCCAATATGGTAGGCACATGTGGCTATTTACACTAAAATTAAAATTAATTAAAATTGAATAAAATCAACCGGGCGCGGTGGCTCACGCCTGTAATCCCAGCACTTTGAGAGGCCGAGGAGGGTGGATCACCTGAGGTCAGGAGTTCAAGACCAGCCTGACCAACATGGAGGAACCCCCGTCTCTACTAAAAATACAAAATTAGCTGGGCGTGGTGGCACATGCCTGTAATCCCAGCTACTCAGGAGGCTGAAGCAGGAGAATCGCTTGAACCCAGGAGGCCGAGGTTGTGGTGAGCAGAGATCACACCATTGCACTCCAGCAGCCTGGGCAACATGAGCGAAATTCTGTCTCAAATAAAAAAATTTTTTTAATAAAATCAACGTGGCTAGTGGTCACTGCATTGGACAGTAGATATAGAACATTTCAATCACTGCAGAAGTTCTGCTAGGCAGAGCTGGATTCTGGACCGCAGTAAGCATAGGAGCCTTGCGGTTGAGAGGTTCCGGGATAGGCCAAAGGGGTAACTGGGAAAATAGGAAAGGGCCCCTTCTCTGAAGGCGCTTTTCTGGGTGGGGCAGTGAGAGATAGTGACTAGTGAGATCCCTGAGGCCTCACTACAACAAATAGGGCTGGCAGCCAACAGAGCCCTGCTCAGAAGGTGGCAGAGAATGACCAAAGGAGAATCTGGCTAGTAGAGGGACTTGCCCCCTGAGCCGGCCTGGCCTCTCTCCATGTCTCCTCCCCACAGCAACCTGCCCCGGGACACCTTGTCACCCCTTCCCCTTCCTTCCCACCCCCAGCCATCACCATGCCTTGCTTTGGCCCTTAGCTGCGCCAGGCATTTGGCTGTCCTCCCCAGGACGCGCGAGGGTCTGTCCACTTCACACCCCGAATGCCAAGCAAAGCACTGGGCTCGGGTACACCGCTGGCCTGCTACCTGGCTCCATTCACACGCTCAGGATGGGAGGGAGGCTTTAACTCAGTCTGGCCCCAAGTCCTGCCCAGGATGTGCCCAAACACTCCAACGCCCTGGCTGTTCAGTGGCCTGCCAGGGGACAGCGCAGTCTGCTGGACTGGCACACTCTCACCCCAACGCTATCACCCAATGTCCCCTCTTCATGCAGTGTGTTTCTGTCGGGGATGGGAGGTTGCCTGGGTGTGGGGGGGGGCTCTCTGCAGGGAAGGACCTTTGAGATGCAGCAGGGGCCGCCCCTGCAGAGCCATTTCCCGGGGTCCGGGGACTGGGGGCACGGAGCAGGGGCACAGAGGGGCGAGCCCAAGCTGACGTCGTGGGAGCAGCGGATCTCTCTATTCCAGGATGAGGTGGGGGCGCAGGACGAGCCCTCCCCCGCCTCCACCCCAGGCTACCGGGAGAGAGCTGGAGTCTCGCGGCCTCGGAGGCCGGGAAGCCAGCCCCGGCGGGGACCCGGGCGGGGCGGAGCCAGCGGAGGCCCCACCCCCGGCGTCACCGGCCCCCAGGGGGGCGTCGCCCCCACCCCGCGCTCCAGGTAGCGGCGGCCTCAGCTGCCGGCGGTGGCTGGCTGAGCTCCCCAGCGGCCCGCGGGCCGGGGCGGGGGCGGGCCGGGGGCGTTCCCGCGGGCCACCGCCCGTGATGTCACAATCGCGGCGGGCCGCGGCGCTCCGGGGTCGGCGGTGGGCGGCGGGCCGCGAGCCGGCGATCGAAGCGGGCAGCTCGCGCCTGAGTCATGGACTTCCCCTGGCCCCTCCTCTACCACTCCCACTCCCTCGCCGGACCCCCCCGCCGGGGCTAGCGTCTGCCGCGGCTCCGAGGGGGTGGGGCTGCTGGGAATGGCTGTGCCCCCTTCGGCCCCTCAGCCGCGCGCGTCCTTTCACCTGAGGAGGCACACGCCTTGCCCGCAGTGCTCATGGGGCATGGAGGAGAAGGCGGCGGCCAGCGCCAGCTGCCGGGAGCCGCCGGGCCCCCCGAGGGCCGCCGCCGTCGCGTACTTCGGCATTTCCGTGGACCCGGACGACATCCTTCCCGGGGCCCTGCGCCTCATCCAGGAGCTGCGGCCGCATTGGAAACCCGAGCAAGTTCGGACCAAGGTAGCGGAGTGGGCGCGGGGCCGAGGATGGGGTCCTGCCAGGGCTGCCAGGGGGATGCGGGGACCCAGTCCTCGCATCCTTCCGGGTGTCAGTCCCAGGGGTGCGCGGCTGCTGCGCAAGAAAGGTTTGGAACGTGGTTTGTGTACGGATTGATTTCGTCGCTACCAAAACTAGGCTCACACCTCCCTTGGCCCTGCACACGCCCCCCTCCTCCCGGGGCTCTTAGGCACGCCTGGTGGCCACCTGCCCACTGTCGGCATGCTGCGTGTGCGGGCCGCACCCCCTGTCGCTGCGTGCTGGTGCCCCTCGCTGACCAGAAGCGCGTACCCAGCCAGCTCTGAAACCTGAGGAGGCGGGAACTTTTAAGAGACCCCCCGCCCCCCCGACCCAGCCATACATGCATACATTGCTGCCCCTTCTCCACCCCATGGTGGGAGCAAATCCTCCAGGCTCTGAGCTGCCCCTGTGGGTCCCAGGAGCCACCCTGTGGAATTCCAGCTAGCACTCAGCTCCTCACCATCGCTGCAGGCTCGGGCTCAGCACCCCCACACAGGCCATCTTCCCCAGCCCCAGCTGGACACAGGTCCCAGGACACACCTGTGGGCAGAGCCACTCACTGAGCCTTAGGCTAACTCCCCAGCTGACTACCTCCAGCCCCGCTGTGGGCTGCCTGTGGAGGAAGGTGCCGAGTGGGGCGCTTGTAGCTTGTGCTGGAATGGTAGCGGCTCCATGCAGACAGGCATTCTGGGGTGGGGTGGGGGCAAAGTTGTGGGGAGGTTCTTAACCAAGTGTGGAGGCTGACAGAACCCGCCCTGGGGATGGAGTAGCGTTTTCAAAATAAAAGGCCCAGTTTGGTATAAGACTGTCAAGGCATCAAGCAGGCCTGAGGTTAATTCCAGCACTGATCTAACGTGCTATCTGCCAGTCCCTCCCCTCTCCTGCCTCAGTTTCCCTACGTAGAATTGGTTCAGATGACCTCTAGGGCCCTCCCAGCTCTGTCACATTGTGCCCCGTAAATTCCATGGTTCCTTTCTCCTCATCACCCTGCTGTCCAGAGAACCTTGCTCGCAGCCCAGTTGTCTCCTGTCTTTTCTGGTAAGGACCTCTGGCCACTAAAGTCCTGGGATGGGTGCCAACCTCAGTACCCTCCTTGTACCTCCACCACTGGATGGGGCAAGGGGTAGAGCAGAGCACACTGCCCGGCACAAGGTGATTGGCAGCTGGTCAGGACATAGTGTTCTGGGCAACTCCCAGCCCTCCCCTGCCACATTCTGGTCCATGATGTTTCTTTCCGTACTGGGGTGGAGGGTAAGGAGCAGCAGGAGGCGTCTACCTCCCAAGTAGTGTGGAAATTTCTCCACTGCCAAATCCCATTCACTAGAGGCACACCCAGGAGTGTGTGGGAGCTAAACCCAAGCTACCATTTTTTTCTTGAACTCTATAGAGACTGGAGACTCCCAAGGTTGGGGACAGAGAGGAGCATGAGTGACTGGGCTAAAGCACTGGGGGCTTGGGGTGGTTGTGCTCGGCATTCAAATGAGCACCTCCTGCTGGAGCTACAGAGCCCAGGAGAGAGACCAGAGAGATCCTGCCCCACCCACCCACCCACGCACTGTCCTCTCCCCATGCTAGCGCTTCACGGATGGCATCACCAACAAGCTGGTGGCCTGCTATGTGGAGGAGGACATGCAGGACTGCGTGCTGGTCCGGGTGTATGGGGAGCGGACGGAGCTGCTGGTGGACCGGGAGAATGAGGTCAGAAACTTCCAGCTGCTGCGAGCACACAGCTGTGCCCCCAAACTCTACTGCACCTTCCAGAATGGGCTGTGCTATGAGTACATGCAGGGTGTGGCCCTGGAGCCTGAGCACATCCGTGAGCCCCGGCTTTTCAGGTGAGGAGGGTGCCAGGGCCTCTGTCTCTACTATTCTTCAGGCCTTGGGCTTGGAAATCCTTGGCATGTGGGGTCCATGGTGGAGAGTTGTAAGATCTGTGAGTTCCCTGAAATTGCATGAAAAATGCATGTTTATATGCATTGCTCTGCAGAGAGGGGCTATCGCTTTCTGTAGATTTTAAGGGTGAGTTCTGGGGGAGGAAAGGAAGAATTGTGATGAACATGGGAGCAGAGGACCTGGTTCCCTAAGTGCGGCAGAGATCTGCTTCCTGGCATCATGCCTCAAACCTCTGCCCACTCCAAGTCTGACCTGGAAACATCTCAGAGCCTTAGAAATGAAATCTGAGCCAGATCCCCAGGGCACTCAGGGTTTTCTACCTCTGTCTCTGTTTGTCAAGGAAAATGGGCCCTATCCAGGGTAAGCATGGTTTTACCAGCCCAGGGAGATGCTATCTCTTCTGCCAGTCTGAACTCCTTCCTGGCTCCTTGACGAAGTGGGAACCCAGGTTTGGGGAACTGTCAAGGCCTCCTTTCAAAGGCTCACAAGAACCTGTGGCTCCTGGGGAGCCCCTCCCAGTAAATGCTTGGATGTGTAGGGCCCAGGAACTGGACTTTTCCTTCAAGCCCTGGGAATGCTGTGGAGCCTGGAAAGGGGGAGGACCAAAGAAGGACCCCTAGCATCTCCCTCTCCTCTGTGCCAGAACAAGGATGGCAAGCAGTGTCCTCCTTCCTCCCTCCAATGTCATGACCCACACGGAGGGCACTCAGACTTGAGTGAGGCCCAAGGCAGGCTGAGGTTTACTCCTGACACTGGGACAGTGGCACGGGGATCTGCCTAGGAGCCTTGGCATCTGCCCAGGCTAATCCAAGGGGAAGGAGGGCTTGCATACTGAGGGGAAACAAGCCCACCTGGGGGTAGAGCAAGAAGCTTCTTTGCTTCCTCACCTGCCACCCACTTAACCCCAAATGCACCTGGCTGTGTTTGTGCATGCCTTCTGCAGGGACTTAGAAGAAGAGGATTTGAGAGCTCTTCCACCCCCATGCTCATAAGCGGCTGGTCAGGCGGGATATTTGAGTTGTGTATTGTAGCAGTGTGTGTGTGTGTGTGTGTGTGTGTGTGTGTGTGTGTGTGTCTTGAGGGTGTGAGAGGCATACAGACCTATGCAGGGATGTTTGCAGGCTCCAGTTGAACAGTTCCAAAAGGACCCAGACTGGAGATGTGAAGTCAGAGCAGGGTGCAAAGGGACCCTGTCCTGACTTCTGCCACTGCACTCCCCCCAGCTCTCCCTCAATCTGGTGCATATAAGCTCAGATATTGTCAGGTCGTCACCACTCCCAGGATCCCTCCACCTCTGTGTATCCGATGCTGTCACTCATCCTGTCACGCAAACAATTACCATTGTCAGGAAGATTGAAGGTGGATTTAGGTTCCATAAGAAGAAGAACGTGACATCTGGGGGAGAGCCCGAAATTGGGATAGGTGTAGGAGGTAGGCCCTTCCTTGATGATTTTCCCAGGATAGACCATCATCCCTCTGGGTGAAGGTGAATGTCTATGGGGAAGGCCTCCAGGAACCACCCTCTACATGTTCCCTTGAACCCCACCCCCAACCTCAGCCTGCTGAGGCTTTGCAGCATGAAAATGCTGAGTGTTGAGGTTACTTTCATTGCTATTCCAGACAACAGCCCTATTGATATTCAAGAAAACGCTCTGTTCATGCTCTGTTCCGAATCTTCCTTTGGGAAGGGAAGGCCTGAGTCTCAGGTCTGTTTCCCTGCCTTGCCCAAACCCTGGTGGGTTCCCTTCTGCCCCAGGGCCTCTGGCCTCTGAAAGAAAGCACAGCCTTCCTCTCTCACCCAGGAGGTTGCTGCCACGCCCCTTGTCTCCTCCACCCTTTAGGAGGTGGGAGCCTTGGGGGCTTCCAGAGGAACCCCAAAACTGCTCTGTTATCCCAGTAGGGTATGGCCTGCCTCTTTCCAGGGCCTGGCAAGAGAAAGGATACCCCTTGAACAGCTTGGTAACAAGGTTTCAAACAGCTAAGGCCTTTGTTGTCTTTCCCAGTGATTGTTATTCAAGCAACAGGCAGAGGCTGTATGTTGGAAGGAAGCTGAATGTTGGAGTCTTAGCAGACGGTTGGGGGGTGGGACAGCGGAAGGGAAGACTGGAAGAGGACTGGGAGGGCCCAGCTGGGACACAGGGCCTCGGGCGATGGGGTCTTTATCAAGGCCCTCCTTCTCTGACCGGTCAGTTTTCCATTCACCCCCACCTTCTCCCAGCAACCTTTCCTACCACCCAATCCTCTCCTGAGACCTTGGATAATGTCCACAGAAGAACTTGAAAATAGAACGCTGGCTTGTTTTGCGGCCTTGGCACCCAGCCGCCAGCATCAACTCCCTATAGCAGAGGAAGGGGCTACCCTGGGCCAGCCTGTTTCCCTCCCCACCTTGGCCAGGCTGATAAGAGGCGGGCATTTCTTCCCTGCCTGGCATCACCACCCCCTGATCTCTTGGTGCAAAGTGAACTATGTTCACGTCCCCTGAGAGGATGGGTCAGAGTCCGGGGAGAGGAGGGCCAGCCCCGCCCCCATCCCCAGGTGCCCCTCTGTTCTCAGGAGTTGCTATGGGTACACTGGGGTAGGACAAGGCCACTGACCTGTGACCAACAGCCCCACTGCTCTGCCCTTCTGCTCCCTGAGGCAGCCCCAGCCTGGCACTGGAAAGGGAGCAGCCAGGCTAAGGTCTTAATTCATTCTCCTCTCTTCTGCTGAGACCTTCCTTCTGCAGGACCTGTGCTCCTAAGGGACTTGCAATCATCCCATCCTTGGCCCTCTGGCAAGTGCCCTGGTGGGCCTGGAGGGTCCCTATCTGGCCAGGAGGAAATGAGTGGGGAAGGCAATGTCCCAGCACTGATGCTCTACTCTTCCTGTTCCCTGCTGTAGGTTAATCGCCTTAGAAATGGCAAAGATTCATACTATCCACGCCAACGGCAGCCTGCCCAAGCCCATCCTCTGGCACAAGATGCACAATTATTTCACGCTTGTGAAGAACGAGATCAACCCCAGGTACAAAGATCTGGGAGGGTCCAAGGCTGCCTTAATATGATCTCCCTTCCCCATCCTTTTGGCTCCAGCCCACCCTGCTAGGAGGTTTAAGGGCTTAGGTCTCGGGGAGGAGGCTGGGGAGTTTCTCCTGCAGTCCCTTCAGTCCTAGTCGGTAAGCCTCTGTCTCCAAGCAGAGTTGGCCCTCCTGACTAAGGAGCTTAGATGGGCAGTTTTATACCCATGTGCTCATTTCTCCTTCACTCTCTGATTGTGGCAGGGACCAGGGTTGGGGACATTTCCCCATTTTACTTAGGGGATGCCGAAGCTCAGAGACTGAGCTTGGCCCAGCGTTATGGGGCTTGTAAGAGGCAGAGCTTCTGTTTCCCAGCCCAGGGCTCTTTCCACCTGCCCCACCTTCTGAACCATGAGCAGGGCAGGGCCCTCAGAATGAGGTGGGACTGAGTTTAGCATCAGTCAGAAGAACTCAACTCATCAGCTGACAAGCCCTTGGGGACATCGAGGTTCCTGCTACTTCCCAAGACCCCTCTTGTCCCCATGTGCCTTTGGGGACCCTGCCCCCACCTTGCTCTGACTGACAGCTTGCTGCTTCCTTCACTGCTCTTCCCAGGAAAGGAGATAGACCACCCATCCTGACATTGCCTTTCCCTGATAAGACAGGGTTCCCTGAGTTTTCCCTTAAGCACTCTGACCAGCAACCTGAGAGTCCTCCAAGCCTTTAGACGCCTGACTCCCCAACACACCCTGAGTGCCGAGGAAAGGATGGAGGCCTGGAGGAAAGCGTGGTGTCTTGCCTTCCCTCCTCCAAAAAAAGGCAATAGTGAGTCTCATTCCTTCACGCTCCCTGCTGGGTTTGGCTATCACCCGTGTTCCAAATGTTCATGGGAGTAGGGTGCAGAAGAGGTTTGAGGTGAAGGATGTGTCTTCCCTCTTCCAAGATGACAAGATAATAATTAACTCTATCCCCATTTTGAGTATGTCTCTGTCACACACATGCATGACTTTATCTGCATCATCCCATGCCATGCCTATCAAGCACTGCTTTGGGACTATTTGTCCAAGGTGGCCCAGGCCTGCCCTCTCTTTGACCATGTTCAGACCTTGTATGTCAAATATTCTCTTTGGGACAAGGACCTCCTTTTCCCTCAGGGTTAGAACAGTTTGTAGAGAACAGGTCCTTCCAACCTTTCAGCCCACAGCTGTTATTTGACAAGTGGAAAACCGAGGCCCAGGGAGGGGATGGAACCTGCCCAAGGTCGCTGATCAGTGGCAGCTTAGCAACTAGAGCCAGGCTTCTGGTGCTCAGACATAATCCTTGATACTGCAGCTTCCTTTGACTGTGCTGTCACTGTGTGACCTTGGGGGTAACCTTACTGGGAGGGAGTAATCCCTGGAGAAGAGCTGGCCCAATCTCTTTGCTCTTGTCACACCTTTGAACCTTGGACAAACCAAGTTGCTTAACTTCGTTGAGCCTCTTTAGGGGATGATCCATGCCCTAAGCTGCCTGACTGCCCAAAAGCAGAACAATGATGAGCAATCATTTAGACGAGATAAGCACCTGGAGCTCCAGGCATTGCCTAATAACCCTGAATTATTCAATCCTTCATTTCACAGACATTGATTGACTGGGATTTAAAACAATTTAAAAATGAATGTGACACTGGCCCTGCCCTCAAAGAGCTTAAGAGCCATCTAGGTACACAGGACATGCCCATGCACAGCTGCAAAATAAGGCAGGGTGTGTATAATGTATGCTGGGGGTGGAAGAACCAGGGAAAGTTGTCTTGGCAGAGGTGGCATGGCAGAAATAAGCAGGGAGGCTACTCCAACTGGAGGAGATGGCTGGAGCAGGGTTTGCTCCTGAGTGACGAGTAGATGAGGTTGGCTGGAGCAGATCTTTGGGAGGACCTGGGAAGGGTTTGGGGGCGGGGGTGGACTACAGAGTTGGAGCTAGGTGGTAAGGGGCCTTAAATGTCAGGCTAAGTAGCCAAGATTTAATTTAGCAAGTAGCGGGAAGTCATGAAGATGTTTGAGTCAGAGATTCAGGTCAGTAACCTGACCAGGACTGGGCTTTAGGAAGAAAGTCCTCTAGCATCATAAGGGACAGATTGGTGGGGGAGGGTGGATTTGAGGTAGGAAGACCAGTTGGGAGTGATGTAATTAAGTGAACAAGATCTAGGACTAGGATTCCCAAACTTTGAGCATAAGATTCCCCTGAAGTGCCCAACTTTGGAGATCAATTGAGAGGTCTTGCATTTGCCCCCTAGGAAATGGCTTTTTTTTTTTTTTTTTTTTTTTTGAGATGGATTCTCACTCTGTTGCCCAGGCTGGAGTCCAGTGGCATGATCTCAGCTCACCGCAACCTCTGCTTCCCAGGTTCAAGTGATTCTTCTGCCTCAGCCTCCCAAGTAGCTGGGATTACTGGTGCCCACCACCACGCCCGGCTAATTTTTGTATTTTTAGTAGGGACGGGGTTTTGTCATGTTGGCCAGGCTTGGTCTTGAACTCCTGGCCTCAAGTGATCTGCCTGCCACAGCCTCTTAAAGTGCTGGGATTACAGGTGTAAGCCACTGCGCCCGGCCAGGAAGCTACATTTTGATAGGCACCCCAGGTGATTCTGAGGCAAGTGATTGAGGAACATTGCCCTACGGCAACTTGAGGTGGCGGGTGGAGAGCAGGATGTGTCGGACACCTGTGGAAATAGATTTAGTAGCCTTGGTGTTGGATCCATGCCCTAAGCTGCCTAAGCCCTAAGCTGACATGGATGTGTCCAGAGTGGCTGGGAGAACGTGGGGCGGATAACTGGGTTGGGCCATCACAAGGAGATACTGGTGGGTGGGTTGGTGGGAGGGCAAAGTGTGAAACCAGTAAGCTCAAACGCTTAGAAAGAGCCCTGTGGGGAGAAAGTACTCTTGCCTGTCCAGATCTTGACAGCAGAGTAGAAACTGGCCAGGCAGCAGTCCCAATATCAGGAGGAACCCCAAGGCTTCCCTGCAGAGACCTCCAGCCCCTTCCTTCCCCTCCTGCTGGCCCTGGGGCAGAGGAGCAGAAGGAGCAGTTTTTCCTGGGCAGTGTTTCTGGGATGCGGTGGTGGTTACTCTTCTGCCGATCCCACAGCCTTGAAAGAGCCCCGTGGTGGCGGGACTGAAGGTAGCAAAGCTGGCGATGTTTCAAGTGCTCAGGGGAGGGAAGCAGAGCAGGGAGGGAGGCCCCGGGGAGATAGAAGGCTGGGATTGTTCCCACAGTAACCATCTGCGTGGCCTTGGGGTGGGCAGGG
Source organism: Homo sapiens (assembly GCF_000001405.40). Lineage (NCBI taxonomy): Eukaryota > Metazoa > Chordata > Mammalia > Primates > Hominidae > Homo > Homo sapiens. The sequence goes on along the minus strand of NC_000001.11, from coordinate 204,143,367 downwards.
TGGGGTTCAGACTGAAGTCAGGGACAGAGCAGCAGGCATCTTGGATGTCAGAGCCATGTTTTTCAGGCCGGGACCTGAGCAAACCAAAGGAACCCTCCTAATTCTTCCCTTTTGATGGTCTCAGTCCAAGAAAAAAAAAAAAGGAATCTTAAAAGGTAGCTTCTTAAGGAGAGCCAGGACTGAAACACATCTTACGCAGACCTGTCGGCACAGATAAACTCCAGGAAGCATGGGGGAGGCCTCCCCCATATCACCTCTCCCAGCAGACTCCCTGGACTCAGAGAGGCCTTTGCAGAACCTCTGAGGGGCACCCAGGCCTTCAGAGAGAGTGCACAGTCCTCACAATTAGGAGACTCCGTTCGATTTGGATCCTTGGACGGGCCAAGGACTGCTTTCCTTAAATGAAGAAGTAAAGGATCCAGCAGTGCAAGAGGTATCTGGAGGCTTGGAGGGAGGCTCTTTCCTTCCTTGAGCCTCAGTTTCCCAATGGGGCTGGACTAGATAACCTCAGATCTTCTTGAGCTTTGACCTTCTCAAAGCCTGGAAGGGACCCTGTCCTCTCTTCCTTCTCCAGAGGGGGCAGAGGAGTGCCTCAGTCACTGAATACTCTTTCTCGTGTTCTGGCCCCTGGGCTGGGTGAGGGAGTGATCGGTCTGTCCTGTGGGAAGGTGAGAGAGGGCCGGTCTCATCCTCATCCTTCTCTATGTGCTCTTGCTACCCTGGACAGAGAAACACAAACAGGTGACACAGGAATGGAGATAAAAGCCCAGCCTCCTCCCCTCTGCCCATTGGTGGTTCTAGGTTTTTTAAGGACTGTGATAAGTGTTTGGCCTTTTCAGTGTACACAGACCTGTGTGCCTCCTGGGGACCAAAGTTCAGAGCACACAAGCACAGTGGACCCTCATCAGACTTCCACATGGCCTCTGATAACTTGATTGATTGGCTGATTTCTTCATTCCTCAACATGTGTTTCTTTCAGCAGAAATGGCTGCTGAGTGCTTGGGATGGGGGTGGGGCAGCAGGAGAGGTTGACCCATGCATCTTTGTTCATGCCCCCAGGTTGCACTTGCATGATATGGCAGGGGTCTGGGACAAGGGAACACTTACTCATAACTCAAGGTAGAAGGGATGAGTCAATGGGGAGCCACAAAGCAAGCATGCTCTTCATTGAAGGCTTTAATGTTCCTTTGACAGTGTAGGAGTGAGCTAAAGAAGCTCTTAGTTTGCTTTCTCATGTGAGCCGATGGTCTGTTTGTGAGATGAGAGGTTAGACCAGACCGTCTCTCTGATCCCTTCTACCTGTGACATGGTCAGCTGCTGGGGTGAGAGGGGGGTGCATACCAGGACATACCTCTGCCTCCTCAAGAGAGCTCCATTGCTCCAGCTCCCTGCCAGGGCACTACTCTTCCTCCTGGGGAGGATCTTTGTGGGAGTCAGCTCGACTTAGGGAGCTGCACCGCCTCCTGGGGAGTTTTCCCAGCATCCTAAGATCAGGTCTGTTTTGCATCTCTCCCCACTGCTCCTGTTGCCCTTGTTCTTAGTCTGGAATCCCCAGGTCTGGACACTCGTTCTCACCTGCCTTGTCCTTTCCCTGTGTCTCCTTCCTTACCCTCCTGTTCCTTTCACAAAGTAGCAGGGATGCCCTCAGTCAGTGACTTTTATGCTCTGCCTCATGCTTTGACGCCCATGTCTTTATCAGCTTCCTAGCATAACCAGAGGAGTCAGAAGGACAGGACGCCTCAGTGCCATTTTACAGATGATAAAAGTGAGGGTCTAAGAGATTGGCCATTTTTCCAAGGCCCCCTGCAGTAAGACAGAGGGAGTGATGAGGCTCAGATTCAGGGCTCTTGAGGCCAAGCACCTGTCTATCAGCCCTCCTTTCACTGGCTACCTTTTTTGCCACTGCCCAGCCTTTCTGCAGATGTCCCTAAGGTAGAGGTGTTGGAACGGGAGCTGGCCTGGCTGAAGGAGCATCTGTCCCAGCTGGAGTCCCCTGTGGTGTTTTGTCACAATGACCTGCTCTGCAAGAATATCATCTATGACAGCATCAAAGGTATGGCTTCTCTGGCCCTGGGGCAGCAGCAGGGTTTTGGTTGGTTGGTTAGCTGGCTTCACGGAGCTGTTCTTCCGGCTGGCACTTGGACAAGCAAAAGTTAGACCTTGATTTAGGTCTTAAGTTAATTTGTAGGAGGGAAGGGGGAAAGGAAATAAAAAATTCCCACTTTGAAAAGTCTGTGCCAAGGGCCAGTCTCAGTGGCTCATGCCTATAATCCCAGCAGTTTGGGAGGCCAAGGCATGTGGATTGCTTAAGCCCAGGAATTCAAGACCAGCCCAGGCAATGTGGTGAGACCCTGTCTCTACAAAAAAAATACACAAAACTTTTCCTGGTATGGTGGTACATGCTATAGTCCTAGCTCCTCGGGAGGCTGAGGCAGGAGAATCACTTGAGCCTGGGAGGTGGAGGCTGCAGTGAGCCATGATGGAGCCACTACACTCCAGCCTGGGCAACAGAGCAAGACCCTATTTAAAAAAAAAAAAAAAGTCTGGCCAGGCGCGGTGGCTCATGCCTGTAATCCCAGCACTTTGGGAGGCTAAGGCGGGTGGATCATGAGGTCAGGAGTTCAAGACCAGCCTGGCCAACATGGCGAAACCCCATCTCTACTAAAAATACAAAAATTAGCTGGGCATGGTGGTGTGCGCCTGTAATCCTAGCTACTCAGGAGGCTGAGGCAGGAGAATCGCTTGAACCAGGGAGGCAGAGGTTGCAGTGAGCCGAGATCATGCCACTGTACTCCAGCCTGGGCGACAGAGCGAGACTCTGTCTCAAAAAAAAAAAAGACAAAAACAAACAAACAAAAATCTGTGCCAAGAAAGAGAGAGAACGAACACATCCTGGTGTTGCTGATGAGGGCATCACCCCAGGGCGTATTAATACTTAGCTTTATTCCTGATCCTTAGCCATGCTGAGGACAGCTGTCTTTAGATGAGGAGAGCCTGAAGATCCAGCTGTGTGAGAGGGACACTGGGAGCTGGGAAGGGCAGATGGATGGATGGATGGATGGATGGATGGATGGATGGATGGATGAATGGAAGTAGCTTGGAAGACTGCTGCAGTGATGGGATTGGGCAGGGTTGCTGCAGAGGCCGGCATCACTCAGTGGGTGCATCCCAGAGGTCTGTGGAAGCTTGACCAGGCTCTGTTGCCAGATCTCCTGGGCCAACTCTCATCGATTCTCCTCTACTTCATAGGTCACGTGCGGTTCATTGACTATGAATATGCTGGCTACAACTACCAAGCTTTTGACATTGGCAACCATTTCAATGAGTTTGCAGGTGAGAGGGGCATTTCTACAGTCATGTGCTTTGTAGCGGTGTTTCAGTCAATGACTGACCGCATGTAGATGGTGGTCCTATGAGATTACTGTATATTTACGGTAATAGGTACCATATTTTTACTGTACCTTTTCTATGTTTAGACATGTTTAGATACGTAAATACTTAGCATTGTGTTACAGTTACCCACAGTATTCAGTATAGTAACATGCTGTACAGGTTTGTAGCTCAGGAGCAACAGGCTATACCATGCAGCCTAGGTGTGTAGTAGGCTATCCCATCTAGGTTTGTGTAAGTACACTGATGATCACACAAAATCACCCGATGGTGCATTTCTCAGAAGGTATCCCTGTCATTAGGCAATACAGGACTATATTTGACCAACGTTCAAAGCACCCTCTTTAGGATGGGGACCAGGGCCAGGGTATGGGGAAGGCCAGAGGTGGTTCTATACTTAGAGGGTAGAGGCTAGATAGCTCTTGTCCTCCAAAATATCACAGCTTAAGGGGTTAAGGCACAGCCTGCTTTTAGAGAGTTCCAAGTCTCATTGGAGGAAACAGGACTCACATACACAGAGCAGACCTCTCCTAGCCCATATGGCACTTTGGTAACTCAGCTTGGTACATGAATTAGAAAAAGACCCCTTCCTCCAGGCAGACCCAGCTTAGACGATTGCTGCAGCTTGGCTAGCACAGCACAGGATGACTTCAGCCTCCACTCCTTTGTCCAAGCTCCTTTATACCCAGTACAACTGGCGCAATTGTACATGAGGGCCTTACATGTAGATAAGGAGCAGAACAAGCTACAAGTAGCTGTTTGCCTGGTGGCCTGATGAGAGTCATCTAAGTAGGATCTAAATATGTGCTATGTAATTTGACTCCCTAAGTTCAGTTTCTGGCTTTGCTGCTTACTGGCTGTGTGACCCTTGGGCAGTTTATTTACCTTCTCTGTGCCCCTATAAAATGGAGATGATGATAGTACCTACCTCATAGTGTTGATATGAGACACACACACACACATATGTATGACACATACTAAGCATTGTATTGGTGTTTGCTGCTGTGATTAGACTGCGAAGCTTTCCGGGAGTGGGGATGGAAGAGGCAGGATAGGGGGGTGATTCCTAGGGGTAGGCAGGTGTTCTATAAAGGCATAGTATGCACAATGGAACCATTTGTGTAGAGGAGGCAAGGCAGGTTTTTCCAGCTTGAGGGCTTAATTAGATGGAACCGAGGAGGCAACTCACATGGACGGAGCTGGACACTGGGGCTGGAGAGCTGTCCCCAGACTAGCACAGTAAAGTGTTCACATGATGGGGCCAGGCCCTGTGGCTCAGGATAGAGAGGCATGCCCAGGCCAACTGGACAGCCATTCTCCAGCCCCATCAGGCCAATTGTGTTCCTTCTGGAACCCCAGGTGATCAATCTGTCGAGCAATGATTGTACCTGAGAGTACACCTAGGAACCCCCAGGGTGATGGAGCCTCTGCTGGGCAGAGCAGCTGAGCCTCGGGGTGTGGCATGGAGCAGAGGCTGGCACTGGCAGGGCCCTGGGTCCGGGAATGCTTGGCTGCAAGGCCCCCTGGCCTTTCCACAAGGGATAATTCTTAAGCATTTTAAGTCCTCCTTGCCCACAGCACAGAGCAAAATCCAACTGGAATTTCTCCAAAGGGGTAGATTGCAGCCTGCTCTCAAGTTGAGAATGGAGGAGGAAGAACCTAGCCTGGGGGAAGGAAGAGAGCTAGGGAGATCCAGACCTAGGGAGAGGGGCCTCATGGGTGCGCAGGAGTGAGGAAGACACAGTTCTGGGCATTGGGAGATGAGAGTTCCAGCCCTGACTCTGCCTCTAACCACCATATGACCTTGGGTGCATTTCTTCTCCTCTCTGGGCCTCCGTTTGTACATCTGTTCCAGGAGATTCTTTTCTAGCCACGCTCCTGGAGCCTCAGGAGACTGTGTATGTTTCTCCAGGGATATAAAGGAAGCTTGAGAAGGACAAGAAGAAGAGGAAGGAGGGAACCCTAGAGAAGGTGGCCCAGTCCTGGTCCTCCTGTCTTAAACCACTTCTTTCTGTACCAGCTCTGAAGCTGTGGTTTATTCTACCATGCCCAGGATGAGGCTGGTGGTACTGGGCTGGCAGCTGGAGGGCTATGGTGGGGCTGGAAGAAACCAGAGCCATCTGATCCATGGGTTCCCAGCCTGGCTACACATCAGAGCCATCTGGGGAACTGGACTGGGGTGGGGGTGCTCTCCAGGTGATGTTTTTAAGTAGCCAGCTTAACACCAGGAAGCCATGTTTGATATCCCTACATGAAGTCCAGCTCCCTCATTTGATAAATGAAGAAATTTCGGCCAGTGATAGAAAAGAGTTCCCTTAAGGCTAACAAGGTTAGCATAAGACCTAGGGCTAGTAATGCTTATCCAGTGCTTTTAACTGAGGGCCTCCTGTGCACCATCATTTTTGTGCAGGGGTTGGGAAAGACAGTGGTGCTGTCTTGAGGGGTTCCTGTCACTCCCAGGACAGTGTCTTGCCCCTTAACCAGTCTACCTCTCTCTCTGCTTTCCTCAATCCCACAGAAACAGTGCTCCTAGCTGGGATGGGGTAGACCCCACACTAGCTGAGTTTAGTAATCAAAGAAGCTGCCTTCTCGGGCCGCCTCCTTGGGCACAGCCCCAAAGATCAAAGGAGATGGGAGTTTGAGGGGAGATGGGAACACCTACTGAGCTTGAGGAGACCCTTGGTGGGCCCATCTCTGAGCAACTTTGTCTGGCCTGCCTCCCCCTCAGGCGTGAATGAGGTGGATTACTGCCTGTACCCGGCGCGGGAGACCCAGCTGCAGTGGCTGCACTACTACCTGCAGGCACAAAAGGGGATGGCCGTGACCCCCAGGGAGGTGCAAAGGCTCTACGTGCAAGTCAACAAGTTTGCCCTGGTGAGTGCCTTATTTCTAGGGCTGGGGCAGGAAAGGAGGAGTTAGCAGGAGGGACTGGTGACCCACCTAGCCTCCTACCCAGAGCCCAGGGTCAGGTGAGAGCCTGGGGACACCCATCCCTGGCTCCTGACCCCACCCTAGAGGTGAAGCCTGGGAAGAGCCATCTTAGGCAGCTCTTAATACTTGATGCCCTGTTCCCTGCTCCCCAAGCCCCACCAAGTCTAGGCTCTCTCCTTTCTAGAGAAATACTTCCAAGAAATATCCTAGCTTCCTGTGTTAGCAATTCCCTTGTTTGAATAAGTAGTTCTTTCTACTGCCTAACCTCAGCCCTTCATGCTGCAGTTAAATTCATCCATATATATGTATATATACTTTTTTTTTTTTTTTTTTGAGGCAGAGTCTCACTCTTGTTGCCCAGGCTAGAGTGCAATGGCGCTATCTCGGCTCACTGCAACCTCCGCCTCTCAGGTTCAAGCCATTTTCCTGCCCTCAGCCTCCCAAGTAGCTGGGATTACAGACATGTACCACCACACCCAACTAGTTTTTTTGTATTTTTAGTAGAGACGTGGTTTCACAATGTTGGCCAGGCTCATCTTGAACTCCTGACCTCAGGTGATTCGCCCGCCTCTGCCTCCCAAAGTGTTGGGATTATAGGAGTGAACTACTGCGCCCGGCATATATATATATATATATATATATACTTTTTTTGAGACAGGGTCCCGCTCTGTCATCTAGGCTGGAGCACAGTGACACAATCATAGCTCACTGCAGCCTGAAACTCCCAGGCTCAAGCAATCCTCCCACCTCAGCCTCCTGAGTAGCTAGGATTACAGGTGTGCCACCATGCCCGGCTAATTTCTTTAAACTTTTTGTGGAGATCAGCTATTGCTATGTTGCCCAGGCTGGTCTCTAACTCCTGGCCTCAAATGATCCTCCCACCTCAGCCTCCTGAGTAGCTAAGGTTATAGGCGTGAGCTACCATGCCTGGCTATATGTGTGTGTGTATATACATATATATTTTTTTAACCTTTAGAGAAGATACAGAATATCAAGCTCATACTTCTGTGTAACTACCTCCACTGACTCAGAACTCTAAGTAAGCTTTTCCCAACAGGCTCTTCCTGCTCAAATGACTGTGCTGTCAGTTCTCAATTTTCAGTGCCCCTTATCCAAGATACCTGGTTCATGCCAGGTCTCCACCGGTGTGTGCCCAGGGATTGCTAATGTTGGCTTGCAGAAGTAAGAAGACAAGTCAGCTGCCTTGAATTTCACAGTACAGAAGAGAGCTAAATACAATCTTTACTTTTCTGTAATTTCGGATTCCCTATTCTGTTTTCCTCACTGGCACAAAACAGAGTCTACATTAGGTTCTTCCTCCTCAGTCTTAAGACTTTAAGACCTTAAGCACAAGCCTTCCTCTTGCTAAGTTTTTTAGTGATCATTCACATGTGCTAGCTTATCTATGCCCCTTTTAAGGAATGGAAAGGAAATAAAGTGGAGGGAGGTACTTTGTAGCCAACCCCTGAGTGAGGAGGATTCTGGGATGGGGTGGGAATGGGATGGGAGAGCCACAAGGGTTGGGGGACTCACATGGGAAAGTGATGGCATCACTAGTGTTTGTTCAGGGGTAGACGGGAACCGCAGCTCCCTGGCTTTATTTTATTTTATTTTTTTACTTTTATTTTAGATTCAGAGGTACACGTGCAGGTTTGTTATATAGGTAACCTGCCTGTCACCGGGGTTGGTGTACAGATTGTTTCATCACCCAGGTAATAAGCAGTGTGTGACAGGTAGTTTTTTGATCCTCACCCTCCTCCCATCCAATCCCTGGCTTCTTGAGCCTGAGGTGACCTGGGCCTGGTGGGTACCTCTAGCCACAAGGAGAGCACGGTTTGAGGCTTAGCAAATGCCTAGACTTGGGGGATTCTTGTTTCCATATCTAGGTTCATTTTCCAACCCAACCAGCCTCCCAGGAGAGAGGAAAAGGAGTGGAGGAGGTTAGTGTAGGGATCTTCCAGCAGACACGTGGCCAGGGCACTGCTGCCCATCACTCTTCCTTCCCTGCACCTTCCTGAGAGGCTCCAGCCCCCCACTGACCATTAAGCCTAACCTCTGGCTTAGGGGTTCATCTTGGCCTGGATCCTACCTTGGCCTTGAAGACTCCAAGAGATTTCCCTGGATAGGGAAGAAACCAGAGGTGGAGTGTGGGTCCTGCTTAGGTTGTGGGAACCCCCCAAAATTCCTCACTGCTGACTACCTGCCTTAGGGTTGGTAAACATTAGGGCCTCGGTAGAACTAGCTCTGCCCACCTTTCTCTAGCAGGAGTGGAGGCGCCAAATGCTGTGCAGTGACTTGGCCTCCAGAATTTCCCCAGCTTGTGCTAGGGAGACCCCACCACATCTCTTCCAGGGTCCTAGCTGTGTGTCTTCCACAATGACTGCATCCCTCCAGTGCTGTAGAGTCGGAAACAGGCATGGGGAGATTGCCAGGCTGACCCTCTCTGGTCTGTTTCCAGGCGTCTCACTTCTTCTGGGCTCTCTGGGCCCTCATCCAGAACCAGTACTCCACCATCGACTTTGATTTCCTCAGGTGAGTGTGGGGGTGATGGTGGGACGTGGAGAAAAGGGAGAGCCTTGGTTGAGCCCAGGGTGTGGGCAAAGGACAGCCCAGGCAGAATGCCCAGAGTCCGCTCCCCTGCTCTGCTGACTCGCCCCCGTTCCAGCTCATCTCCAGCGGGGCCACTATCCCCAGGGGATGCCAGGAAAGTACCACTCTGAAAAGAGAAGTGTCATATCCTCCCTGTTCCTCGTAGGAGGTGTGCTAGTCCCCACGAAATCCTACCGCCTACTCCACTCCCCACCCTGCTTCCAGCGCACCTATCCACAGAGCCTGGTGGTGGATGGGATCGTTGAAAATCAGTCTGAACGACTGTAGGTCTTACCCTCATTTTACAGCAGAGAGGACAGAGGTCCAGAGAGCAGAAGTGACTTGCTGAAGCCATGCAGTGGTTAAGGGTTTACCATGCTGCCTTCTGGTTGGGCGACAGCCCCAGCTACTCCTTCAGTAGCTAGCCGCTGCTTGTGTATCGATGATTCAGGGAGTCCCTGTCCTGTGAGGCTCCTATGTACCTAAGGCCAGGAATCATTTCTCCTTCCATTCTGGTCCAGGGCCTTGCCCTTCTCCTCCTCACCCACCTTCAGCTGAAAGGGAATCACTACCCTGGTTTCAAAGTGTTCACAACTATTAGAGAAATGCAAATGAAGAGCACGGTGAGGCCGGGCGCGGTGGCTCACGCCTGTAATCCCAGCACTTTGGGAGGCTGAGGCGGGTGGATCACGAGGTCAGAAGATCAAGACCATCCTGGCTAACACGGTGAAACCCCGTCTCTACTAAAAATACAAAAAATTAGCCGGGCGTGGTGGCGGGCGCCTGTAGTCCCAGCTACTCAGGAGGCTGAGGCAGGAGAATGGCGTGAACCCGGGAGGCGGAGCTTGCAGTGAGCCGAGATCCCGCCACTGCACTCCAGCCTGGGCGACAGAGCGAGACTCCGTCTCAAAAAAAAAAAAAAATAAAATAAAATAAAATGAAATGATAAAAAAATAAAATTTAATTAAAAAAAAAAGCAAAGCATGGTGAGATGTCGCTTCACACCCATTAGGATGGCTGCTGTTAAAAAACAGAAAATAATAATTGTTGGTAAGGATATGCAGGAATTGGAACCTTTCTGCACCATTGGTAGGAATGTAAAATGGTGAGCTACTATGGAAAACAGTAGGGTGGTTCCTCAAAAAATAAAAATGTAACTACCGTATGATCCAACAATCTCATTTCTCGGTGGGTAGCCAAAATAATTGAAAGCAAACTCTCAAAGAAATATTTATATACCTATGTTCATGGCAACATTATTCTTGGCATAGTAGCCAAGAGATGGAAGCAACCCAGCTGTCTGTCAACAGATGAATGAATGAATAAAATATAGTCTATACATGCAATAGAATATTGGCCTTAAAAACGAAGGAAATGTCACTTGCTACAACGTGGATGAATCTTGAGGACATTACGCTAAATAAGCCAGTCACAAAAAGACAAATATGGTTCTTTAAGAGATAACTAAAGTAGTCAAATCCATAGAAACCAAGTAGAATTGTTGCCAGGGGGTGGGGAGAGGGAGCAATGGGGAGTATTGCTTAATAGGTCTAGTTTCGGTTGTCCAAAAGGAAAAAGTTGTAGATATTCATTTGCACAGCAATGTGAATATACTTAACAATATAGAACGGTAAAAACAAAACTCCAAACAAGCATGTTTGTGGAAGGGTTTCTCTAGTCTGATCTAAGAAGAAAAAAAATGTAGTTGAAGTTAAAAAAAAAATAGGCTGGGCACGGTGGCTCATGCCTGTAATCCCAGTACTTTGGGAGGCCATGGCAGGCGGATTGCTTGAGCTCAGGAGTTCAAGATTAGCCTGGGCAACATGGTGAAACCCTGTCTCTACAAAAAATACAAATATTAGCCAGGTGTGGTGGCGTGCACCTATAATCCCAGCTATTCTGGAGGCTGAGTGGGAGGATCATCAGAGCCCGGGAGGCAGAGGTTGCAGTGAGCCAAGATCATGCCATTGCACTCCAGCCTGGGTGACAGATCCAGACCCTGTCTCAAAATAAATAAATATTAAAAATTTTAAAAAGAAGCAAAAGAAATAATAATACTAATCAGTCTGGGTTGGGGTTGATCTGCTCAGACTTAGATAGGCCTAGAGCCACTGAAAAACTTTTCTCATGATGTCAGCACCCCCAGCAGGGCCCACCTGGCTTTCTTCCTCACACCCAGCTTCCTTCTGTCTTCCCCACAGGTACGCAGTGATCCGATTCAACCAGTACTTCAAGGTGAAGCCTCAAGCGTCAGCCTTGGAGATGCCAAAGTGACCAGCCACCCCATCCCTCCCCTACCCATCTGTCTGGCCAGACCTGTTCTCCAGAGCTCAATTCTGCACTCTGGGATCCACACCCTTGGACAGGGTGGGAGAGGGGACACATGGGTGTCCAGGGAGAAGGCTCTGTCCCTGCCGCCAGACCCCAGTGGTTGCCACTGAAGACCTCATTCTCCTGTCTGGAGGGGCTGATAGGACCCCCTTCCGGGGGTCCCCTTCACCCCACCAGGCTTGGGAGGAAGTGCCTGCAGCCAGGTCCTGAACCATAACCACCCCTGGGAAACACATCATTCCCAGCCTCAGGCCCTGCTGGAATTGGGGCTGCCTTATATGTGTGTTTACCCCTTCCTGGCCTGGGGAAGGAGGCGGGGAGGGCTCCTTTCTACCTCCAGTGCCCTGAGCCTCCAGTCCGTCTCCCCCTGCATGCCCCATGTGGGAGGTGCTGAGCTCCAAACCAGCATCACACCAACTCTGACACATGGATGTACCTATCTTGGTGATGGGTGGGGGCCAAGAATTGAGCATGACATCTTCCCCAGCAGCCACCTCCTCTGAGATCCCTCACCTTCTCCAAACCAGATCCAATCAAACCTCAGCCCGAGGAAACATGCTCCCCAACGTGCTCTCCTGTGCTTCTGTTTTGTCCCCCTGCTGGGGGGACAGGAGAGGGAGTGGTGAGGCCCTGGGCCTCCAGAGCCTGGCTCTGCTTTGTGCTGTGGCTTAGCCGGAGGGGACGTGGCCAAGGGTGAGGTGGCCAAAACCAGAACCAGCAGTCTCCTGCCTTGTTCCCTCCCTGGCCCTCAGGCCCTCCTTCCAGGGATGTCTCTCCAGCTCTACTTTATGTCCTGAAGCTGACCCGAGGTCTTCCTATCTGGAATGACTAGAGGGAGCCAAGAGGATGGGGTGGGGGCCAGGGCCCCCCAGGGCCTATCGTGGGAGAGCCTGGGCAGGATCCCATCAGAAAGGTGCTGACTAAACTGGTTGCCCGGACACTCAACAGCCTCCACCTCCCTTTCTACCCTCACAGCTCCTGGGGCCTTCCTGGCTCTGGCCCAGAAAGTGATTCATTTGTAAATTATCATGGTTTTCTTTCTGCATTAAAATGCTCATTTCCGGACTGCTGTGTCTTGAGTGACAATGGTGAGGAACTGACCCCTGCGTGGGGGCTGAGGGGTGCTGTAACCCCTCCTGATATCCCCCCTCCACCTGGGCTTCATGCTGAAGTCAAGGTAGCCGCCTGCACACATCCTCCTGTGCACCTAGCTCCGAAGGCTCTGGGCAGGGCCCCCTATTTCTCTCACTCAGCTTCTGTGCCTTTGACTCTCTTAGTAGAACCTACCAGTTAAACCCGGTAAAGCACTGCTTAGGGGGAACTAGGCTGTGGATTACAAGGACTTTGGTTGACCCAGGAGATGAACCAGTGACATTCTAAATAGAAGTGCTCAGGACACCTTCCTCGGTCATGTCTGGCTCCCAGCTGTCAGTGGGGTGGGGAAGGGGCTGCTCTGCCTGAGAACAGGCAGGAGTGATTTCTGGAACCAATCCGTCACTTTTTCAGAAGGCCAGAAGGAAGAGCAGAAACTCAAAGATGAGAAGGGGGCACCCCTCTTGGCAGCCCAGTCACTCCGGCTATACTTCCCAGGCTGTGCACTGGGCAGCAGCTGCTCCAGGACTGCCCCCCTGCCAGTAAGTGCCCAGTGCCCTTAGGGGCAGCAGAGGCAACAGCAGCAGCAGCCTGCCAGGTGGACTCTGGTTGTTTGGCTTTTGCCTGCAAAAAGCACCCTGGTGCCATGGCAACCACTGGAGCTGGCACCTGCAGCTGGAGCTTTCAAGGTCATGGTGATCCAGCATAGCCAGGCCCTCCATGGGCAGCAGCCTCGGGGGGTGACAGTGGGGGGACACGAGCGAAAGAGGTGCCCAGGCATAGGGATGGTGCCAGGGCTGGGCAGGTAGGGGCCCCCTGGGGTCACCTGTGGGGTCAGGTGGTCATCATAGACACTACCTGTCTGGACTAAATAGCAGTGTCCCCGCTCCTTCTTCCTCTCTGAGCCACCTCTGGAATTGAGGGCAGAATTAACACTGTGAAGCCAGCTTTGTTTCCAGCCTCCTGGGTCTTGATGCTGTTGCGCTGGAGATAAGTGTTGCAGTGGTGAGTAGGGAATGGCTGGGACAGAGCCCCCCCCCCCCCCCCGGGTATTGTCCTGTGCCCCTAAGGTCCTGACCACCATCTGTATGGGAAGGAATTAACAGCAGACATCATCCCACTGCCGCCTCTGAGAAAGCATTCTCCTTCCCCCAGTCCTCCAGGGGAGTGAGCCGGTGTGGTGGCAGGGAACACAACCCTGTTCCTCAAAGTCTGGGAGTTCCACCTTGGCTCCTTTCACTGCCACCCCAGGCTAACCAGCACTCCTGTCCTCCTGGCTGAGCACCAGGCCTGGGAGCCTCCCAGTGTGATCCGGGTTCCACCCCCTCGGGCCCCTTCCAGGACTCTTAGCAAAGAGCTCTAGTTAAAGGACTCCTGGGCACATTCACCTTCCCAACGGGCTCTGCCCCTCGGTCTCTGCCGGAGACGCACGGAGGGGACGAACTTGTAGCCCAGCTTTCCTGGTAATGACCACAGCACTCTGCTCCTGGCCTCTCCAACCACCTGGCCCCATCCTGCCTCTCATGAGACAGGGGTGGGGCTCCAGGACCCGCAACTGTGTCTCAGCAGAGGGAATAAGGCAGGCAAGACAAGAGGACTTGCGGGAGGGAAGAGGAACTCAGGACCGACAGGTGGGAATGAGCCAGGCTGGGAGAGTCTTGAGACTGGCAGGACATGGTTTGGACCCACCAGTGGAGTGGAGGAGGCCGGGGGCCGAGAGGGGCGGGCGGAGAGGGGAGGGCGGAGAGCGGAGGGCCGGAGGGCAGAGGGCTGAGGGGAGTGGGAGGTGCAATGGGCAGCTCTCCATCGTGACCACCAGGGGGCAGGCGCCGCCGCCAGCTCCTCCTCCCACCTCTGCCTGCATCTTTTCCAGACGTGGCGTGGGGAGGGCGAAGGAGAGGAGGCTCTGAGAACCCGGGCTGGGGAAAAAACAGCCAGCCAGCGTTCAGGACGCTCCCCATACCAAATGGCTGGGCCCTTAATTCTTGGGCAGTCTCCATTCCACACCCTCCCAACTTTGTGGCCCTAGAATCAACCACCACACCTACCCTCTCTCACCACTACCCTCTCCAATCTAGAAATCCCTCCACCAGTACTCAAGAGCTTGAGGACTTGAGTTGGGAAGTTCACTCTTTTTTGTGGAAAAGGTGTTCTTTATGTCAAGACAGTCTTGAACCTCATCCAGGAGCTCAAGTTCTGCCTCATGAACTTTGTGCAATACTACACTTTGCCCACCTGGCAGTTTTGGAGAAAGCAATCTTGTCCTTTCTGTCCAACTCTGTCTTCTTTTCTAGAGGAAACACGCCTGACCCTTCTGACTATTCCTCTAAGGACAATGTGCACCAGGATCCCTCCTGTGCTCCTCCATGTGGGGTGCCTGCTTCAGGGCCCCTCCATTGTGAGACTTCCCTAGTGAGGGGGCGAGGAAGGGCACGCTACCCCTGGGACTAGGTCTGTGTGGGGTACACTGGACCATCACCTCCCCTGTTGTGAACACAAGCCTCTATTAATGCAGCCCAAGTCCAACTCTTCCACAAGAACTACTGCCATTCGGTTTTGCTGTCCCCACTCTATACTGATGGGATTAATTTTTCACTACAAGATGTGTCTCTCTAGAGCCTGGTTAATATGCATTTTTGAGGTGTTTCAGTCTGTCATCCGGCCCTTGCAGGCCTATTACTTCTCCTAATGGGATAACTAGGTCTGAAGTGTTCACTCAAAGCATGTGTCATGGATAGAGAGCCCTGAAGCATTATCATTAGAGACCCTGCTTCATTAATTAGCATCGTAGGGGCCTCAGATGGGCTTCAGGGTAAACCTTTGTGGGCCCTTTTCTAAGAAAAGGATCCACAGCTTTCATTAGAGTCTCAAAGGGCTACTTCTCTGAATGGTAAGAACCAGGTATAAGGTTTAATCTTGTTGTCAGATGAGGACAATGAGGCCCCAAAGGAGAGACCTGGCTCCCACTCCCCAACCCCAGCCATGTGGCCAGTTCTAGAGAGACCCCGAGCTTCATGACTCCTATTACAGTGCTCTTACTACTGCCTTCTTTCTTAGGATCCGGGTGGCCTCACCTCGTCAAGGTAGGGGCATTCAGCGTGGGCTCTGTGGAGGGCATGTGTCACTCACAAGCTTGGCCTGGGATTCCCTTGCATTAAGCCAATTCCTCTGAGGCCCCAGGCCTGAAGCTCCTGCAGGCTGCCACCAGGGGACAGTGGTGCCCAGGCTGGTGGCATATTTGGGAATTCTGGACTTAGGCCAGCCTCCCTCCTCCCCTGCACAAGGGCCAGATTCTGAAATGATCTGTCTTTATTATGTCATCAGAAAACAAAAAAATCCCCCGAGTGTAAACAGGAGAAATGTGCTGGTTAAGTTACTCATCATTATCTTATTATTAACAAAATAAAGCACTATCTATGTTTACAGTCATAAAAAAAGAAACAGCCTGGAGAGAAGTGGGGGCTTTGAGGATGGAGAGAAGACGGGGGCAGACACAGACTCCACATCTGGCCCTGTGGGATTTGGGGTTCCCATACTGATCCAAGGGCTATTTAGATCTTCAGAGTTAGGTGACAATGGGATTTGATTTCCTTAGGGAACAAACTTTGTGAAACTGATCAGAGGCTGAGATCCAGTCCCTAGTATAGAGTGGGGGAGGGGAGGGCAGGCAGGTGAGGGGCAGGGCTGGGTGGGAGAGGCTGAAGCCCAGGAGTCTTCTCAACCTCTTCCAAGAATGGGGACCCCCCCGACCCTGTGCTCATGAGGGAGGAATAAAGACCAGCTGCCATGGACAGCCCCTCTCCAGGGCCTCTGACGCTGGCAGGAAGGGGAGCACCATCAATCCTCCTGTCCCAACTCCCTCGTGGGATCAGGTTGGGACCAGGGGCGGGGGCACCAGGACAAAGCCCCTTGGAGGCCGAGGCACATTCCCATGCTGATCAGAGCTAAAAATGGCTCCGTGGGAACCGACTGGCAGAGCCAGGGAGGGAGTGAAGGGGAGGGCAGGAGGAGGTCAGGAAGGCTGATGAGCCCAGGGCAGACCAGGGGCCTACATAGACCCAGAGAATCCAGAGGGCACAGGGGGCAAAGGACAGACACCAAGAAAGAGAGAAATAGAGGGCCTTGCAGAGAGACGAGGACAGAGAGAGACAGAAATGCACACAAGGACACACAGAACCTGAGACACCCAGACTGACAAAGAGGTAGCAATTTGGGGACAAAGAGAAGCACAGAAAGAGGCCCCCAGAGAAGCAGGAGTGGCATCGAGAGACACACCCACAGGAACTCAGCAACAGTGCCTGGCACGTAGTGGGCACTCAATAAATATCTTGTGCAGTGAATGAACAGATGAAACACACACACGTGCACGCGCACACATACAGCAGCCAGAGGCACAATAGGCTTGGCAGAGATGAAAACAGCAAGGGACAGCCAGACCCTTTTGCACAAAGTACAAAGCGATCCTGGTGATAGACGAGCAGTCTGGGGGAGTGTGGGAGGGGTGTTGGTCCCACAGTGGCTGGTCCAGCCAGGACAAGAATGGAAACAAAGCATGTGACCCCAGGGAGACAGGTCGGTAGATGCCATACCCCAGGTGGATAGACACCTGCAGGAGAGGAGAGTCATACAGTGTCCCCTGGCCATAAGCCCTAAAGGCTGAGGTGCTCAGCCTGCTCAGCCCATGGCCATACTGCAGTTCCTGCCCACCCAGGCCAACAGCTCCTCAGGAAGGGAGGGCGCCTCTCCCCTCATGAATGTATCTGCAAGTGCACAGCTTTGCCCATCTCTGGGGCACGAACAAGTCCAAGTACCAACATAGTCTTAGGTTGGCTGGCTGTGCCCATCGAGTTGGGACAAGGTCTTCCCCAGAGGAGAAGGGGCCAGGCCCACCCAGCCGGGATCAGTCTGTGAGCACCACCAACTCCCCATCGCTCTTCTCTTCGCCCTCCGAGTCCTCGTCCTCGCTGTACCGGTACATCTCGCCATCAGCCACCGAGTGCCTGTCATCTGTGCCCTCACCCTCCTCTCTGAGGCTGCAGGTGTTGACGATCACAGGCATGTTGGGGTCCAGGCTACGAGGGACATAGTGCTCCACCAGTGGCTGTGCCAGCGGCATGCCTGCTGCCCGAGGGTACAGGACATCTGAGGAGCTCATCTGCACCTGGCCAGCCTGCGGGCTGTGGGGCAGAGAAGGGGAACGGTGATGGATGCACACTTGATTCAACCCCAAACCCATCTCCCCTCCAGGCCTCCTCAGAGCATGCACTCCCACTCCACACACTCTTGGCTGTGACTTATATACCCTGCCCCCAGCCTGCTTTCTGATGGCCAAATTCACTGGCACCTACGACCCTGCAGATGACCTGCAGACCTAGGGCCATAGATGTGTTCAACAGATAATATTCTTGGAGGATCATGTGTGAATCCAGTTTTTAGAACTTGTATATTTTATGTTTTGTTTACTTATATTTAGAGACAGGGTCATGCTCTGTCACCCATGCTGGAGAACAGTGGTACAATCACAGCTGACTGCAGCGTCAGCCTCCCAGGCTCAAGTGATCCTCCTGAGCCTGCCTCAGCCTCCTGAGTAGCTGGGACTACAGGTGTGAACCACCACACCTGGCTAATTTTATTTAAAGATGAGGTTTCACTATGTTGCCCAGGCTGGTCTCAAACTCCTGAGCTCAAGGGATCCTCCTGCCTCAGCCTCCCAAAGTGTTGGCATTACAGGCGTGTGTCACTATACCAGGCAGAAATTGTATATTTTAAATGCCCTGGGAGATGTCCTGTTTAAAGGAATAGACTAGGGTGCTTGCTTTAGTCAAGTCAGGAACCTTTCTGTGTGATGAATACTTTGATTTCTAGCACCTCTGAATTTCTATTGAGTTTATCGGCCGTGGGATCTACAGGCACTTTCTCCAGGTCCACGTGGCCAGTCCTCCAGTCACATTCCTACATCCTCAGCCACTGAGTGCTCACCACAGTCACATACATAGCCATACACAGTCGGGTCGCACGTGCAGGCTCAGCTATACACAGATAACACACACACGTACGCATACACACAGCACCCCTGGGGTCACACACAAAGGCAGGCCACACACTGACACCCAGCCACTCATGAGAGCTACACATGTACACACAGTCTCCTGGCTGCCTGCGGGGGGGCCTGCTCACGGGATCACGTAGCTCTGGCGGGCATCCTGACGCCGGGTCCTCATCAGGGCCTTGTACTCTCCCACGCGCAGCCGCTTGCCCTCCACGATGCAGGTGCGCTTGGGCCGCGGCTTGTACTTGTAGTCAGGATACTTCTCCAGGTGCTGCCGGCTCAGCCGCGCCTGTTCCTCATAGTAGGGCTGCTTCTCCTGGTTGGTCATGGACTTCCAGCGAGATCCTGACCCAACCCCCCAGGGGCAGGCAGTCAGTGCTGGGCTCTGCTGACCACCCCCAGCCCCATGCAGGACCTGAGAAGACCTTGATCCCCAGGTGGGTCCATAAGATAATATATGTGCAAGCACTTAGCAAGGGCCTGGCCCGATACGGGTGCTCCTTGGATATTGGGCAAATGAATGAAGTTGGCCTGTATAGGGATATCCAACTGCCAGCTTAAGACTCAGTACCCACCCATGTTCCTAACAATCCAGCAACTTCCTTGAGCCTCTGGCCTGCCTGATTTGCATAAACAAAAGAGCAGCCACCTCAGACCTTCAACAACCCAGACAGGCTCCCTGCTCAGGACAAAATACCTGATGTCTCAGTTGACAGAGTCCTGCGCTGACACTGGAGGAGCCTCAGTCTTGAAAACAACTGGCCCCTCGAGCTCCATCTGCCCTGCCCAACATCCCTCCGTGGCCACCAATCAGGACATATAATTTAAAAAAATCTTTCTAGTGACAGCCCAGGAACACTAGTCTCTCCTGTTTTCTGCCAGAGCAAGGGTCTGGACAAACAGTGGAACAGGTTAGGTTTAGATCAGGAGTACTAAAGAATGTAAACACACACACACGCACACTCCTTGAGTTCTTGAGGACAGGTGCTACCGAACACTTCAGTGATATAAGACCCCAGGACCCAGCTGCCCTCACATCCCCAGCAACTCCTGCACCCCTGTCGTCAGATTCCACTGGAGTCCAACACAGTATGGAATATCACCAAGCAAGCCCTGAATAGACCCAGCTGGCTCCTGCAACCAGGTCACACTGAACCATGGCCCCAGCCACTGGCCCTTACCAAGGATCTTGCTGATGCTGGAGTTGTGCATGTCTGGGAAGGCTTGCAGGATCTTCCTCCGCTCATCCTTGGCCCACACCATGAAGGCGTTCATGGGCCTCTTGATGTGGCTGCTGTTTCGGGACTCGGGGAAGTGGCGGGAGCCTGGGAGACAGGAGTGAAGTCAGCCAAGCAGCCTGTCTGGGGTCAGGAGAGTGCCCCAGGGCCAGCAGAGAGACGTCCCCTACTTGACCAGCAGGAGGCACTGAGGAGGCTCCCACAGCAGCCAGCCGAGGAGGAGCAAGGCAGGAGCAGATGGGGCAGAAGAAACAGCAAATTATCCGCAGAGGCCCAGCCAGGGAACCAGAGACAGACACACAAGAAAATCACAGCGGTATGGCCTCAAGAGAGAGCAGAAACTCAGCAGTCACAAAACTTAGGAAAGCAGACTCAGAGACAGAGCCGACAGACACATAATGGGACAGCAGAGGCACACACACCTGGAAAGGACCCAACAGACCAAGGGAGGGAAGAGATCAGAGGCAGACACAGCCCTGGCCCTGGTGGAATACAGAGTTGGGCCCTCCTGCGCATCAGCCCTGCGCCTGAGCCCTCACCATCCATGTCGCAGCTCAGCATGGCTTCCTCCAGTGGGTGCACACAGCCGTCCTCCAGCCGCTCCTTGGCTGGGGATGAGTCCAGGCTGATGAGGTCCTAGGTTGACAGGGGCAACCTGACATCAGCCTCCTCTGCATCACCCCACTCCTCCCCATGCTCCTCTCTTGGTGGCCTCAGACTGTGTCTTCCACTCCTGGCCACCATCTGTTGCTGCCCCTAGGCTCAAGGGAGTGGGGGACCATACCTTACGGAAGGGGGTGTTGGGGGAGCCATCCAAGGCCCCACTGTGGCTGTGCAGCAGCTGCCGAGCATCCTGGATGGCTTTGGTGACAGCGTCCCCTTCACCAAGGAAGCCTGTGGGAGAGGGCAGAAGAGAGGGAAGAGAAGCGAGAGAAGCTGAGGGCATCAGCCCAGCATGAGCCCAAACTCCATCAGCTTCCCGCCATGCCACTCCCATGAGGCACCTGAGTTAGTGTTCCCTCCTGTTCTTCCACAGGGCGGCTGCATTGCATGTCCTCAGGGATATGCCACTTACACTGGCTAGTTATTGTGCATGTCAATAGACTAGAAATGACAACAGTACCCCCTGGAACTATGTGACTCTGGCCTGAATCCCTGATGCTTGGAATGCCCAGACAGATATGATGAGGGAGAGGAAGAAGGGGATCTTCTGCTAAGAGCAAGTCTAACCCCTCATTTGATAAAATCTGGAACCCAGGGAGGAGAAGGGACCTGCTCAAGGTCGCATCATGCCGCCGGCTCTCCCCTAAGAGGGCTGAGGGACAAGTGCAGGCAGCAGGAGGCTTACCCAGAGGCAGGCTCGGGGGGCTGGACTGCAGGTCCCGCGTGGGGCCTCCATGGCTGGGGGGGCGGGGCACACAGCTGCTCATCTTCAGGCTTGGGGAGCTGGAGGTGTTGGGCAGCTCGGGGGCCTTGGGCTTGGCTGTGAGGTTCAGGGGCTGGGAGGGCTCCTGAGGGAGACCCAGCAGGTCAGAGGATGACAGACACCAAAGGACACTCCCACAGCAGGACAGAGAGGAAGTGAGGTGAGCATACCCAGAACACACAAGGAGACAGACAGAAAAGTGGACGCAGAAGGAGCGGGTGAACAAGAACACAGGATGCCAGGGCTCACCAGTCCACACCCCGCAGTTCCCTAACACGGCAGCCGGCCGTCATAAGCTCGAGAGGGAGCCCCAGGCCAGTGGGTAGAGGGCGGTACCTGCAGGGGGTGGTGGGTGGCCATGGCCCCAGGCCTCTTCACCACTGGGGCAGGGGGGCTGTGCAGCAGCTGCAGCGGATACTCCACTATGGAAAAGGCAGCAAGGAGAAAAGTCCTGGATGAGCACAGAACAGCAGACACCCTGCTTGACGAGGTCCCAGCACCACAAGATGGGCAATGGCTCGGCACTGGACCAGCTTGGTTCCAACCACTGCCCTCCCCAGCCCCAAAGCACTGCTTGGAGGCTCCTATCCCCTCACTCCACACTGCCCCTGCACACTGACTGGCATCTTCACTGGGTTCCCGCCCTTCCCAACCCACTCTAAATAGAGTTTCCCAGATTCTAGAGTCCCATCCAATGGCACAATGAGAGAGGGTAAAACACCTATTCATCCAACAGCTACTTTTATTTTGTACCTACTGGGCACAGGGCACAAAAGCGGCTGCCTGTTGTGTAGAACGTCTCATATGTATCATCTGACAATAATACATGGTATGTGATATATAACAGGGGCTGAATACATCATCATCCCATTTTACAGAAAAAGAAATGAAAACCTTAGAAGTCAAATGGGGCTGGGTGTGGTGGCTCATGCCTAGCACTTTGGGAGGCTGAGGCAGAAAGACTGCTTGAGGCCAAGAGTTCAAGACCAATCTGGTCAACATAGCAAGACCCCCATCTCTATTATTAAGAATTGAAGCCAGGCGTGGTGGCTTACGCCTGTAATCCCAGCACTTTGGGAGGACAAGGTGGGTGGATCACAAGGTCAGGAGTTCGAGACCACCCTGACCAGCATGACCAACATGGTGAAACCCCATCTCCACTAAAAATACAAAAATTAGCCGGGTGCGGTGGCACGCGCCTGTAATCCCAGATATTCAGGAGGCTGAGGCAGGAGAATCGCTTGAACCCAGGAGGCGGAGGTTGCAGTGAGTCGAGATTGCACCACTGCACTCCAACCTGGGGGACAGAGCGAGACTCTGTTTCAAAAAAAAAAAAAAAGAATTTAAAATTTTCAAAACTAAAAAAATAAAAATAAGAAGAAAAATGGGTTGTCCACAGAGCTATGAAATGGCAGCATCAGGATTTGAACCCAGGGCCTCTAGACTCCACAGCCTTTCCTTCTTCTCGACATGGCACTCCTGCCTACCCTACCTCACTCCCAGGCCCAGCATCCAGGTGGAGAGATAGGCCACATGTAGAAATCATGAAGTGCATGGCAGGTGGTGATGAGGGCCACACAGACAGAGCACCAGCAAACTCTGCTCCAGCTGGGGTAACTAGAGCAGGCTCCCTGTGGGAGCCGAGGTGTGCGCTAGTGCCTGCAGGATGGGCAGGATTTGGGCAAGTAGAGATGGAGTGGTGGGGTGTGTGAGGGTGAGCTGTGGGGAATGAGGCAGGCCATGGGGGCCAGGTTGGCCCCGAGGCCCATGAAGGCCGAGGTCAGGAGTACGGAGCCCATGCTGTGGGTACAGAGCACCATGTAAGGCTTGTGAGCTGGGGAGGGCCACTGTTTACAGTCAGCTTTTGCAAGGGACCTTGCTTGCTTAATTTCTGGAGCAAACAAAGTGGGAGGCAGCCATGCCAGTCCCGGGCTCCCACAGCTTATTTACTGCCTTACCTGCCCAGAAAGCAGTTGGGGGTCCTATCCCCGACCAGATCACTGTCCCCTTGCCTCCACAGCTCTCCTCCACACTCATGGGGAGTTGCAATGGTTTGGAATTGCCCTGTCCTCCACCTTCAACCTTCTCCACTCCCCATTCCCCCAGCTAACTGGAAACTTCCACATTGGGCCTGTCTTAGTCTACTCAGGCTGTTGAAACAAAGTGCCATAAACTGGACAGCTTACAGACCTCAGAAATTCATGCCTCAGTTCTGAAGGGGAATTTGCTTCAGAATGAATTATACCTTGAGTCTTACCTATAACTGATTTAGGTGAGATTTATTATTATTTTTGTCTGTTTTGCGACAGGGCCTCACTCTGTATGTCTCGCTTTGTCTCCCAGGAGGGTGTGCAGTGGTACAGACACAGCTCACTACAGCCTTGTCCTCCTGGGCTCACGCAATCCTCCTGCCTCAGCCTCCCAAGTAGCTGGGACCACAGGCACAGGCCACCATGCCAGGCTTTTTTTTTTTTTTTGTAGAGACAGGGTCTCACTTTGTTGCCCAGGCTGGTCTTGAACTCCTGGCCTCAAGCAATCCTCCTGCCTTAGCCTCCCAAAGTGCTGGGATCACAGACATGACCACTGTGCCTGGCCTAGGTGAGATTAGATGAGGCTCTGGACTTGAAACTTTTGAACTGATGCTGGAACAAGTTAAGATTTGGGAGCCTATTGGGATGGAATGAATATATTTTGCATATGACAAGAAAATGAACTGGGGAGAGTCTGGGGCAGAATGCTATGGTCTGAATGTGCCTCCCCCACCCCAATTCCTATGTTGAAATCTAATTCCCAATGTGATAGACTTAGGAGGTGGGACCTTTGGGAGGTGCCTGGGTCATGAGGGTGGAGCCCTCAGGAATGAGATTAGAGGCCTGAGGGAGCCCGTTTACCCCTTTCACCACCTGAGGACACAGTGAGAGACGCCATCTGTGAACCAGAAAGTCAGCCCTCACCAGACACCAAATATGCTGGCTTTATGATCTTGGAATTCACAGCCCCCAGAACTGTATGTGAGGAATAACATCTGTTGTTTATGAGCCACACGGTCCATGGTGTCTTTCTACAGCCCCTGAATGGATGAAGATGGGGCCTGGCTTTCTCAGTCCTTTGTGTTTCCCCTTCACACCACCCTACAGTGCCCGGCACAAACCAGGCAGGAGCAGAGAGCCAGTGGGGCTGAGCAGTCTACCCAAGCCCATGGCCTATAGGCCTCAGGGAATTTCCTCTTCTCTCTCTCTTTCTCGCCTGTGGAACAGGGAGGATGATCTAGCACGTGTTGCCTTTAAAGCTGTCCACACTCCTGGGGTAATTATGGGCAGCATCTCTGCCCTGTCCCCATAACTCTCTGTCACTGCCCTAGTTCAGGTATCATCCCCTGCTGCTAGAATCACCTAGCAGGTCCTGCTTCTGGCCAGTCTCCCCTCCACTCCCCACCCCTCAAAGCCAGAACGACACACTCACTTCTCAAATGTTCACATGCACCCCACAGCCTACAAAATAAATCCCAGACTCCATGCTCCCTCCCCAACTGCCCTGTACCGTCAGGTCCCACACCCTTGTCTGACACATGGCCATTCTGCTGAATTTCAGTGATGGGGTAGAAGGCCAGAGTGACATGGTGTAGGCAGGGACAAGAGTGTGAAGGTAGGAATCGTGGCTGTTAGAATTTGGGAGATGTTGGCTCACGCCTGTAATCCCAGCATTTTGGGAGGCTGAGGCGGGAGGATCACTTGCGGTCAGGAGACCAGCCTGGGCAACGCGGCGAAATTTCGTCTCTACTAAAAATACAAAAATTAGCCAGGTATGGTGGTGTGCACCTGCAATTCCAGCTACTCAGGAGGCTGAGGCAGGAGAATCGCTTGAACATGGGAGGTGGAGGCTGCAGCAGTGAGCTGAGATTACACCACTGCACTCCAGAGCCCAGGTGACAGAACAAGTAAGACTCTGTCTCAAAACACAAAACACAAACAAACAAAAAAGAATTTGGGAGATTTGTAAAACCCAGTTAATATTCCAGATTTTTTTTTTTTTTTTGAAATGGAGTCTCGCTCTGTCACCTAGGCTGGAGTGCAGTGGCATGATCTCAGCTCACTGCAACCTCCACCTCCCAGGTTCAAGCGATTCTCCTGCCTCAGTCTTCTGAGTAGCTGGGACTACAGGCATGCACCACCACACCCAGCTAATTTTTGTATTTTTAGTAAAGATGGGGTTTCACCATGTTGGCCAGGCTGGCCTCGAATTCCTGACCTCAAGTGATCCACCCACTTCGGCCTCCCAAAGTGCTGGGATTACATGCGTGAGCCACCACACCTGGCAATATTCCAGATATTAATACTCTGACACAGTAAATGTACTAGAGTTGGAGAGACTAGACCTGGATTGCTACATCATTTTACATCTGGAAAGGGCTTTATGGTTTTTCATTCTCCCAGTGAAGTTCAGAGAAATTCAGCAAGATTCAGAAAAAGAGGATGATTCTTCTACCAGACAGATCCAAAACTGAGGCCCAGAAAGTCCACATAGCAAATTAATGGATGAGAGTGGCTCCAGGGCGCTTTCCCTGACC
Organism: Homo sapiens; assembly: GCF_000001405.40. Taxonomy (NCBI): domain Eukaryota; kingdom Metazoa; phylum Chordata; class Mammalia; order Primates; family Hominidae; genus Homo; species Homo sapiens. The sequence continues at coordinate 204,117,754 of NC_000001.11, read as the reverse complement.
TCAGGACAGGCTGGCCGCAGTGGTGGAACCTCCCTTCTCACACTCACCTGGTTTGCAGGGAATGGGCTGAATGGGTAAGGCCAGCTGGGAGTCAGGGGTGACAGGCAGAGGTTGGTGGCTTGGGGGGAAGGCTGGGATCATGACATAAGGCATGTTAACCTGCTGAAGGCAAAGAAACCCTGTGTGAGTCCCCAGGGACCCAAAGAGCTACCCAGCTATGGTCAGCCCATGGCACAGAGAATGGACCCATGGACAAGAGGCACAGGGGATAAAGCAGGGACAGTTTTCCAAAGGATCCCTTTGACCCTAGGCCAACTCTGTGGGCCCCTGTCTACCTGCCCTCAGGTCTCAGCTGGGGAGGAAGACATGCCGGGCTCCTCCCTTTAATCAGGGAAGGAAGACAGGTTGGGGGCTAGAATAGAAATAACCCTCCTCAGGTCAGGCCTGAGTGATTCTGCTCTGGCTCTTTAACTTGGTGCACATCCCCTGTCCCCAGCACCCTCCAGGCCGGTGTCAACTCCCTCAACTGCCTCCTGTGCCTCTCCGGGTCTCCCCTCCGGTTACCTGGATCTGCTGCTGAAGGAGGTTGATCTTATGCTGCTGCTGAATCAGCTGCTGCTGCTGCTTTGCAATCTGGGAGAGGGAAAGAGTAGGCAGAGGGGGTCACGGACATTAGCCCTGGTGCCCAGTCTGCCCAGCCCTAACCACACCCTGCTTTCTACAGTGGGGCAAGCCATGGAGTGGGGTGGCAGTAGGGAGCAAAGCAGTCAGCCCTCAGAATTGGTTCTCCTTTTGCAGGAAGCTCATCCCTCCCTCCAGGACCAGGAGGCTGGGCAGGAAGCTGCAAGCTGCTCTTCCTGCAGAGTCCCTTTCATACCCTCCCACCCCTAACCCTGTACAAGGGCTCATGAATCAGTCCAGGTGGGAATCCTACAGCCCCTGGCCACAGACCCTGCCCAGCCTGCCCCCAGGCCCCAGCTTGCACTGGTGAGGCCTGTCCCTAAGGCAGCCTTCTCTAGGTCCTGACACACTCCTTTTCCTGGAAAGAAAGCTACACCCACCGAACAGGACCTACCTGCTCCTGCTGCTGCCGGGCAAGCTCCATCTGCTGCTGCTGCTTCTCAAACAGCATGGCAGCCATGTTCTTCTGCTCCGAGTGGGCTGTCAGGAGCTGGTCCCGCAGGGTGGACAGCTGGTGAATCATGACCAGAAGCTGGAGCTCCTTCTCTGCTAGGCTCTCTTGGGTCCCTGCTCCACAGTGAAACAGACCCCATTGAGACTTTTTACTTGTTCATCTATACATCCATCCATCTATCCACCCATCCATCAGAAACTTATTGAGCAATTGCTATGTCCCAGGACCATTAGGGGCTGAGCCACAGAGATGATGACACAAGATGCTTGCCTTGAAGGGGGCTCTTCATGTTGCTACCTGGCAACTACTAGCCTAGAAGTTCTCCCCTATTAGCCATGAATTCCAGGCCCCCTGAAAATGCTGACAGTGGGACATGTCAGCCCCAGAGCCCCAGGCCTCTTCAATGTCCTCGAGTGCTCAGCGCCACACAGGGTCAGGGTGGACAACCATCCCATCGGAGGGATCCAGTGGGACACACTCAGGCTTTGAAGCAAGACAGGTCTGGGGTCAAATTCCCATTTCAACCCATCCTGTCTGTGAGCTGTTAGGCAAGTTACCAATTTCTCTGCACTTTAGGGTTTTCAAAATCTTGGTAAGTGGGCATAATAATAATCACCTCAGAGGGTTACTATGAGGGATAAATGAGCTAATAGAGGCCAGGTGTGGTGGCTCACGCCTGTAATCCCAGCACTTTGGGAGGCCGAGACAGGTGGATCACTTGAGGTCAGGAGTTCGAGACCAGCCTGAACAACATGGTAAAACCCCATCTCTACAAAAATGCAAAAATTAGCCGGGTATGGTGGCGCATACCTGTAATCCCAACTACTTGGGAGACTGAGACAGGAGAATCGCTTGAACCCAGGAGGTGAACTTTGCAGTGAGCCGAAATCACACCACTACGCTCCAGCCTGGGCAACAGAGCGAGCTGTCTCTCTCCAAAAAAAAAAAAAAAAAAAAAAAAAGAAGAAGAAGCGCTAATATATGCAAAGCTCTTAGTCCAGGATCTGGCACATGGTCCTCAACCAATAAATGTTAGTGTCCCCCTGACCTCCAGTTTAGCTCCTGTCTGATGCAGCAGTTTATTCCTGAGTGCCTGGCCATAGACCTTTTTTTTTTTTTTTTTTTTTAAAAAAAAAAAAAAAAACAACATCGGAATCACTCATGGATCCTTTGAGAAGTATAGAGGCCCAGGCCCCTACCATACCCTGGGGTTCCCATTCAATAGGTGGGGGTGGAGCCTGGGCATCTGTACGGTTTTAAAGTTCCCTCTGTGGGTGTGATCAATGACAATGCAAAAATGATCATTCTGGCTGGGTGCAGTGGGTGGCTCATGCCTGCAATCCTAGCAATTTGAGATGCCAAGGTGGGAGGACTGTTTAGGCCCAGGGGTTCGAGACCAGCCTGGGCAACATAGTAAGACGTCATCTCTACAAAAAAAATATAAAAATTAGCCTGGCTTGGTGGCAGGTGCCTGTGTTCCCAGCTACTCAGGAGGCTGAGATAGGAGGATCATGCAGGAGGTTGAGGCTGCAGTGAGCCAAGATTGTGCCACTGCACTCCAGCCTGGGCGACACAGGGAGACTGTATCTTAAAAAAAAAAAAAAATCACTCTAAGGAACCCAAGCAGCAGCCCATTAGTAACTACTTTTCACTCACTTAGTGAGGTCCAACTGACCTAGAATTAATTAGAGTGAAAGGGAACTTTCTGCTCATTTTGCGGTTAGACTCGGGAAGTGGCAATGACATGCCTGAAGTCACAAGGGTGCCTGGTGAGAGCCCAGATTCAGAGTCATGGGATTTGATTCCTACCAGGCCTCTCCTGCATGGGATGAGTGAGACCTAATGCTTGGGGCCTCCAGGCGAGGGATGGTGATGACCCCTAAGGCCAGGCAGGAGCCAGATGGCACAGGATAGGTATGTACCAAGAACTGCCCTACAGAGCCAGGCTGCGTGGCCAGACCAGGAGAAGAGAGATGGGGTTCAAACATCTCCCCCACCCCCAACAGGCCTTCACCTTTGACATCTTTGGCTTCCATAGAGTTCCTTCCTAGAAACCTCTCCTTCCAGTCACTGGACAACAGCTTCTCTATGGCTGGCACCACTGGAAGACAGCAAAGGGGTGAGGAATAACCGTCTTAACACCTCCCTGCCTCAGGCCTCTGCTTCTAACTAGGGCAGACATCCTACCTTCTTTCAAATTTCGGTTGAAGTCCAGCTTCTCCTGGCTTCCAGAGGCAGCCTCCGACACTCCTGGTCTCTTGGGTTCTGGGGACCCATTACCCTCTGGAGAGCTACAGTCCTGCAAGACATACTGAATTGTCACCATAACCCCCAAGAGAAGGGGACAGGCTGCAGGGAGGGCTGGGCACCCCAAAGATGTGTACCCTGAGGGATCCCAGCCCTATCCAAGTCCTACTTCTCCACTCACTAGGTCCCTTTGGCCTCCACCTGCCCAAGCTTTGTTTAGGAAAAGAACAGAAGATTTCAAAACAAAAGACCTGGGTTTCAGTCCAGGCTCAGTGACTCACACGATGCTTGATCCCACACAAGTCCCTGAAATGCTCTGAACCTGACTTCCCTCTTTTGAAAATGGAAATATTAATACCTCCTCTGTCACAGGATTGTTGCTGGGATCAAGGGAGTTAATGCATGTGAATGAGATTTGCCATTACAATCAGGGGCCAAAAGTCAGCTATTAGTTATCACTCCCTTGAACATACCCACTACACCAGCTGGGCTGCATAGGGGAGCAGGTAGGGGCTGGCAAAAGTTACTCACACTCCCCACTGCCTGCCTCACTCCTCTTCTCGTCAAAGTCCTCCCCATCCTTTAAGGCCTAGCTTGAGGCTCTACTTCTCCAGGAAGCCTTCCTTGATCACCAGTGCCCCCACCCCCCACCTCCTTCCTCCAGGCTGGATTCTTTCTTAGAGCCCATAACTCTCCTCATTTTCACTTATTTGGATTTTAATTATATATCACCTTTTTACATCTCATATGTGAAATCAGAATTTTTAGGAGCTGCAAGAATCCTTATGAATCATGCAGCTCAATTCTCTTGTTTTTTTAAGGGTCAAGAACCGTATCATCTTTAACAGTGACCTAATTCTTGCTTGTGTAATCAGGTTGATTTTCCCAAATCATCTGAAAAATCTGGTAGATTACTTTAAAGCCAAACTTTAGCATGTGTGTCCCATCTCCCCATCTAGTCCTCAGAAGCAAGGACTGGGTCACACATAGGTGAACTGTCACTATCAAGCGAGTAAGTACAGGCATGAGTCTAGGTCCTGCTCTGATAGGTGACCCCGCTTCCAGCCTCAGACTGAACTTGGCAGTGCCTCCCTGCTTCCCTACATGGCGTCTTACCCCTAGGATCACCACTTCTGCCTGTATCTGCTGCCATCTAGGGGAGTGGGCCTGCCCAGCCGAGCAGAGAGCCCAGGTACAGCGCATGGGTGTGAGGATGGAGGCAGGGCGGGGACACTGACCCAGGAGCCCCTGAAATTCCCCTGGGCTGGAGCTTGGGGGTCAGCACTATCCTGGGAGGCCCGGGCTGGGTCTCCAGGCTGAGGTTCAGCGGCAGTGGCTGAGCCCTGGGGGGCCTCGTGGCAAGGCTCTTTCTTCTCCTCTGACTTGATGGTGCAGTTCACCATGGTGCCAACGCCATCCAGGGCCAGCTGGGCAGAGATGGGGCTCCTCATGGACATCCTGGGGGAGGGACAGAGTGAGCTGAGGTGAGTCCCCAGTCGTAAACTTCTGCCCAGAGGCAGTGACCCTACTGTTTGCTCCCCTGACCCCACCCAAGTGCCTCCTGGTGCCTGTCACATGGGCACACTCACAGAAAGGGCAAGCTTACTTGTGAACCCACAGAAAAATCAGCAAAGCCTCTTGTATCCCTCATGCTTTTTTGTTTTGTTTTTTGCTTTTTAAACAAAAAGTTCTAGAGAAGAGTGGGCCTACCCTTGCGCAGCAGCTGCCTGTGTAATGCTTGGGACTACGGGACTAGTGGACTGACGGCCCAACTAACGAGGCCAGATACTGACTGGCTGTTTCTGAGCCCAACAGAGTTGGAGAGCGACAGCGAGAGAGAGAAAGTGTGTGTGTGTGTGTGTGTGTGTGTGCACGCATGTGTGCATGTGTCTGTGCATGTTTGTATGTATACAAATGCATTTTTTTTTTTTTGAGACAGAGTCTCACTCTGTCACCTAGGCTGGAGTGCAAGGGCACGATCTCGGCTCACTGCAACCTCCGCCTCCCAGGTTCAAGTGATTCTCCTGCCTCAGCCTCCCGAGTAGCTGGAATTACAGGCACACGCCACCACCCCCAACTAATATTTGTATTTTTAGTAGATATGGGGTTTTGCCATGTTGGCCAAGCTGGTCTCCAACTTCTGACCTCAGGTGATCTGCCCGCCTCAGCCTCCCAAAGTGCTGGAATTACAGGCGTAAGCCACCACGCCCAGCCTACAAATGCATTTTTATAATTAGTTACCAATACTTAAAAATCAAGAGATAACACATAAAAATCTAGATTTGAACTTCTAGCTCAATTGTTTTTGTGGTAAAAATTGGCTGGAATTGAGTAATGGGTATTTCTTATGGACAGGCCAGTCTACTTTAGCCTCTACACTCCTACTACTCCTCAAAAAGGAAACCAAGTATTAACTATATAAGACATATATTCTTCTATATATAAGACATATAGTCTTCTTCTTACAGTGGAGATAAGGTAAAAGTAAATGATTTCTTGCTTCATGCATCTATCACACGGGGGGAAATAGCCGGGTATGGTGGTTCATGCCTGTAATCCCAGTTACTCAAGAGGCTGAGGAAGGCACATCACTTGAGGTCAGGTGTTTGAGGCCAGTCTGGACAACCTAATGAGACTCCCATCTCTTTAAAAAAATAAAGGGCGGGGGTGGGGGGAATAACAGACTGAGATGATTGGCTTTACGAAAAATATTTTCCGGTATCTAGCTAGAATCTCTCAGAGTCTGGCCACCATAGGCATCTGAGTTTGCAGTTCCTAGTTTAAGCAGCTGGTATACCTGGCAGACCCTCTTGAGACTCTGCACCTGCTGTTCCTTTCCTGTCACATCACTGCCTGGGACATCTGAGGAGCTGAGCAATCGCAGCATCTCAGGGAGTGGTTTCCAGGGGTCATGCCAGGCTTGGGCGGAGCAGCAGATGCCTATCCTCCAAAGTCACAGAGATGCGCTCTGGGTTCTAGTGGGAACACAGCAGGTTCCAGCTATGCATGGGTCCTGCCTCAGCTACTGACTAGCCAAGTGACCTAGGGCAAGTTGCTTAGCTGCTCTGTACTTCAAGTTTCCTCATCTGTAAAATGAGCATGGTAAGAGTCTCTACACTATAGGATGGCCGTGAGGACTAGGAGTTGATATTTATATGGTACTTAGAATAGTTTGTGGCACCAGTAAGCACCGATCTGGTGTTTTGTTGTTTCCTTGTTTATCACATTTCCAAATAACATCACATGATCTGGTGTTTGTTAAACCACTACTAGTTGGAATGCAGTATAAGGACCAGCAGCTTCAGCATGCCTTGGGGGCTTGTTTGAGAGGCAAAGTCATAAGTCCCTCCCACAAATCAGAATCTCTGGGAGTTAGGCCAGGGATCAGGTTTAACAAGACCTCCAGGTGATTTTGATATGCACTAGTTAGAAAAGCACTGTTAAATACATTTTTTGATTTTTTTTTTTTTGCATGGGGATTAGATGTTTAGGGGAAGTATGTAAGGCTAAAATCAGATATAGTAAAAATATCCCTACAGTAAAAAAATTCCTTAAACCTCCCAGGTGCAGTATGGTATTTAAATACTGCATCAGCTCTGTATGGATGCATTTGGATAGATTGCATCAACTCTGTAAAATGTTTGTTATGTATTATGAAACACGCATTGTATATAATAGAGTACATGTAGAGTATTTTAAATAAGCATTATAATTGAATAAAATATATACAATCAGCCCTCTGTATTTGTAGGTTCCACATCCATGGATTCAACCAACCTCAGATCAAAAATATTTAAAAAAGAAATTTCATCTGTACTGAACAAGTAGACTTGTCATTATTCCCTAGACAATATAGTGCAAAAACTATTTATATATGATTAACATTATATTAGGTATTATAAGTAATCTAGAGGCACAGGGGCTCATGCCTGTAATCTCAACACTTTGAGAGGCTAAGGCAGGAGGATTGCTTGAGGCCAGGAGTATTGTATTTTTTTTGTAGAGACAGGGTCTTGCTATGTTGCCCATTAGCATGAGCAACATAGCAAGACCCTGTCTCTACAAAAGAATACAAAAATTAGCTGGGCATGGTGGCATGCGCCTATAGTCCTCGCTACTCAGGAGGCTGAGGCTGGAGGATTCACTTGAGGCCAGCAGTTTGAAGCTGCCAAGATTAAGCCACTGCACTCCACTCTGTCAAGGTGACAGAGCAAGGCCCTATCTCAGAAATGATAACAACTGGCCAGACGCGGCGGCTCATGCCTGTAATTCCAGCACTTTGGGAGGCCGAGGCGGGTGGAGCACCTGAAGCCGGGAGTTCGAGACCAGCCTGACCAACATGGAGAAACCCCATCTCTACTAAAAATACAAAATTAGCCGGGTGTGGTGGTGCATGCCTGTAGTCCCAGCTACTCAGGAGGCTGAGGCAGGAGAATCTCTTGAACCCGGGCGGTGGAGGTTGTGGTGAGCCGAGATGGTGCCATTGCACTCCAGCCTGGGCAACAAGAGCGAAACTCCGTCTCAAAAAAAAATAATAATAATGATAATAATAATAACAATAAATAAAAAACAAGGTATACGGGAGGATGTGCATAGGTTATATGCAAATACTATGCCATTCTATATCAGGGACTTGAACATCAGCACATTTTAGTATCTTTGGAGGTCCTGGAACCAACCGTCTCAGATACAGCGGGATGACTATATACAGTCCTACATCAATTAATAGCATAAACATGTTCTGAGAAATGCATCACCAGGCAATTTCTTTGTTATTCAAACCTCATAAAGTATATTTACACAAACCTAGATGGTACAGCCTACTACACACCAGGCTGTATGGTATAGCCTATTTCTCCTAGGCTACAAACCTGTACAGCATGTTATTGTACTGAATACCGTAGGTAATTGTAATGCAATGGTTAAGTATTTGTGTATCCAAACATCCAAATATAGAAAAGCTACAGCAAAAATACAGTAGTAGAATCTTGCAGGACCACTGTCCTATATGTGTTCGGTCGTTGACAGAGACATTGGTAGGCAAGCAGTGCATGAGTGCATGTGTATTTGATTTGATTCCACCTTGCTGATCAGACCAGACTCTCCTGCTCACCCACTTTCAAAGTGTAGGGTTCCCCAGAGGCTGGGTCCCAAGACAGGGCACTGCAGAGAGGGGCCTCCATGACCATAAGTACAAAGGCCCCATCCCACCTAGATGCAGAGAAGAGAAGAGACCCCAGGCCAGCTCACCCTGGGGTCCCCTCCTACAGCCCAGGGGCTTGGAGAGCGTCCAGAAAGCAGGCGGCTCAGCCCATCCGGGCACCGGGAGGGGCTCAGAGCCAGGCCGAGAGCAGGGGGGCGAGAAGTGGGAGTGGGTGCAGTTGGGGAGGGGGTTTTATCCTGAAGCCGAAGGCAGCAATTACATAACAAACAAACCCTGGGCTCAAGCTGTGAATTAATCAAACCGCTGAAAATAAAACCTTCCTCTCAGGAACTTCAGACAAAAGAAATGAAAACAACCAGGCTGGCTGGAAAATAAAAGGCAGCAGCACTGAATGGGGGACAAAAGGAAGCCAGACAATAGGGTGTTGGACAAAAGCAATAAAGCCAAAGGAAGTGTGACAGGCGCACAATGCGGGCCTGTGGGCCTCTGATCCGTCGGCTCAGCGCCACCTCACTCACACCCACTGCGGGCGCAGGCCGGCCACCGGGTCCCTCCTCACTCCGGACTTGGGTCCTAAGGGTCTCTCCTTCATTCTGTCCCAACTTCAGGGGCCTCCAGCTCCCACCTCAAAGCCTTCCTGCTGCAGCCCAGAAATCCCAGCAGCAGCCACAGCCTCCAGGAGCATGGTCAGATGAACAGGACACAAAAGTCCAAGGTCTCCCCAGTTGGGGATGGTGAACGACCATCCATCCCTGGAGCTGATGGTGGAGGCAGAGGAGGCCATCATCTGTCCTAATTAACCCTAGGACTGCACGGCCCAAGATTGCAGCCACTTGCCCCATGCGGCTACTAAGCACTTATAATGCAGCCAGTCCCAACAGAAATGTGCTGTGGGCATCAAACCCACCCCAGGTTTTGAAGGCTTAGTACATGGAATAGAATGTAAAATAGCTCATTAGTAATGGTTACTGATTACAAGTTGAAATTCTTTTTGGATAAGTTGGTTAGATAAAATACATCATTAAAATTCATTTCACCTATTTCTTTTTATACTTTTTAATACAGCTACTAGCAAATATTACACATGTAGTTCCCATTATATTTATGTTGGACAGCGCTGCACTAGGACACCTCCTCCCTTTGAGCTTCTACACACACTTAGCCTCCACGGTCCCTCCAGCCAGGCACCATGGATCACCCTTATATTAGGGAGCCTGTCTCCTGGGCCTCTCAGTGGCCTACCCTGGCCTCCAGCACAAAGACAATGGCTCCTGGTGACCAGCCAAGCCAGCTTAGAGGTGTCAGTCTGTTCACTAGGGCTGGGTGCCCACCAGATAACCCTGCCCAGACAAGGGCCCTTCCATCCTCACAGGTGTCTGGCTCAACGGCAGGTGCTGGGCACTGGCCCTTAGTTGGTATCCTCTGGGCCCACTTGTCCATGAAAAGGCAACAGCCCAGGCACAATGCCACCCCGCCCCCAATGGAGAGCAACTCTGGGTCTCACCTTTGGGGGAGAGGGTCCCTGGGTACCTCTTTTACCTCCCTCTCCCCCTCCCCAAGCACAGGCCTGCTTGAGAAGAGCAGCTGCTTTCCCTGCCCTGTCTGGTCTTGAGGGAACCAAGCCCCAGCCTGCCATGGCCCAGAGAGACGCAGGTGTCTCTGTGAAGAGCATCAGTACCAGGCTCCAGACCCTAACCATCCCAGGGAGGGGAGCGACGGTCCCATGATCAACTAGATAAGGGAGGAAAGGCAGTGAGATGGAAAGAGAGGGGTCATTATGTGGTCACTGCTCTGTCACTCTGCAGCTGGGGGTCTGCACAGTTTGCTTCACCCCTGCAAGCTGTGTCTATAAAACAAGGGTCCTGGAGGGAGTCAGGGGACAACTTGGAAGACCCGCAGGGTTTGAATCCAACAACCTGGGTTTAAATTCCTGCCCTGCCACAGGCTGACTTGTATGAACCTAGTCAAATTAATTAACCTCCCTTAGCCTGTCTCCTCATCCATACAATGGGTACAATAACCCATGTCTCACTGGTGTCCATGAAGATCAGATAATACAGGGTGAATATCTATTCTGTAAGTTGTGCGCAGTCCAGGATGCTCTGAGAGTCAAGTGGTTGAGAGAAAAGCCTCTAGGGTCAGACAGACTTGGGTACATTTGAATCCCAACTCTGACCAATCATTGCTGTGCAACCTTGGGCAAGTAACTTAACTTCTCTGAGCCCATTTCCTCCTCAGTAAAATAGGAATAAGAAACTCAACATCAAGAGGTGAATCTCCTGTTAACAACACCAGACCCTATCAGAGTGCCTATTTTACATTCTCATGGCACTTTGAACTTGACCTTAAAAGTATTTATCACAATTGGTAATGATACCTTTACACGCTTAATTTATTTTGGAGTCGCTGGGCGCGATGGCTCACGGCTGTAATCCCAGCACTTTGGGAAGCCAAGGTGGGCAGATCGCCTGAGGTCAGGAGTTTGAGACCAGCTTGACCAACATGGTGAAACCCTGACTCCAGTAAAAACACAAAATTAGTCAGGTGTGTAATCCCAGCTACTTGGGAGGCTGAGGCAGGAGAATTGCTTGAACCTGGGAAGTGGAAGTTGCAGTCAGTTGAGATCACGCCTCTGCACTCCAGCCTGGGCAACAACAGCGAAAACTCCTTCTCAAAAAAAAAAAAAAAAAATTTATTTTGGAGTCACCCAGTAGCCAAAAATATACCTGTTTCTGCTCATCACTGTAGCTCCAGAGCCTAGCACAGTGCCTGAAACACAGTAAGTGCTCGATAAATATTCTTAGAATGACAAGAGAGTGACAGAGTTCAGCAGCACAGCACAAAGCAGGTCTGGATGCTTAACAGGTGATGGATACTGTTAGGACTATTAGACAGCTCCTGCTCTCTCAGGTTTTTCTCCCACACCCAATTATCCTCTGCTGCCTCTTCCTTGGGTCTAAGCTCTTCCTATGAGTTACCTAAATACCCCCAGCAGCAAAGCGATTCCATTTCCTTTTCTTTTTACCTTGGGTCGGATAAGAAACACTTTCCATACTTTTTGGATTTAAAGACCCCGTTGGAGTCCTCCCTTAAGTCTCCCTTTAGACTTTCCAGAAACTAAAATAATCCCTCAAGTTCCTTTACTCCTTTGTTACACAGCATGCTCCTTGCTTCAGTCATTTTCCATGTGGCTCCGCAGGAGGTTTTAAGGTCAGTAACCTCAAACTCCACTGTCCCAAAATGCCCAGAAGCCAAAGAACGCTGGGTCCACAGGATACAGGAGTTACTGGGCTCCCTCAGTTTCCACCCTAGTCTGATGCCTTGGTACTGGTCAGAGGCCACAAGTCCACAGGGTAGCCCGTCAGCCCCTCGCTTGGATGGAAGTGCTCCTGCGTGCCCAGTTTCCTCTCTTGCCCAACCTCAACACATTTTATAAACAGAGAAACTGAGGTCAGGAGATGTTGAGTTCACGCAGCTTTTGGGGCAGCACTGCTTCAAGACTGTATAGAATGGCCGGACTCATATCTGTAATCCCAGCACTTTGGGAGGCTGAGGCGGGTTGATCACCTGAGGTCAGGGGTTCAAGACCAGCCTGGCCAACATGGTAAAACCCCATCTCCACTAAAAATACAAAAATTAGCCAGGCATGGTGGTGCATACCTGTAATCCCAGCTACTCAGGAGGCTGAGGCAGGAGAATCGCTCAAACCCAGGAGGCGGAGGTTGCAGTGAGCCAAGATTGCACTGCTGCACTCCAGCCTGGGTGACTGAGGGAGACTCTGTCTCAAAAAAAAAAGAGATTATACAGAGTCAGAGGCCTTCAGCCAGCTGGGGCGCTAAGCGGCATCTCTGCTCTGCCCTCCCTTCCTTCTCAGGAACCCACCTCACAATCCCTCTTCCATTCTTCTTCCTCTGTGGTCTTATCTCACCCAAGTGAGCATCCTTAAGAAGTGAAGACCTCTAAGGAGAGGGCTCCAGCCATCTTCGCCCTTGACATGCAGAGCCTTGAGTCTCAGCTTGTGCCTACCAGGCCCCGAGGCCCCCAAATCCAGCACCTGAGACAAGGTATAGAGAGGCACCCGCCTCCATGGAGGGACAGTGGCTCAAAGCATGGCGCTTATATGACAAAGCCCGCTGCAGGTGCCGATCCTCTTCCTCTCTCCTCCCCACAACCAGCCCTGTCACGGCCCCTCTGAACCCCACCAACCCACAGGCGCACACAAACCTAGCCCCTTTCTGCCCAAAACAAATCACCAGCCACTTCCTCTTCTAACCAGTCAACAACTGACCCTGTTGGATTGGAATCAAAGGAGTTTTTACTGTCAGTCCTTCCTCCCTCCACAACGACAGCCTTCCCCCACCCTACAAAAAATATCTAGATGAAGATAAAGATAGAGATAAATTCCAGTCATCGTAGCATGACGGGTGACTCAGACCCTGGGGTACAGGAAGCCTGAACAGACAGGCAGACCCTCTGAGAGGGCCAATGGCTACACTTCCCCGCTGGGCACACACTAATCCCCCTCCACTGCTGGCTCCCACTCCCAAGCTTGCTCTGAGTGGGTGGTGCCAAGGGGCATCACCAGGGAAAGAGATCCATGCAGCAGGGGTGGGGCAGGGCTTGAGTCCCAGGGGAATGCCACTTCCTCTGAAAGCCCCCAGAGAGCTGAGAACCTCAGGCTGCCCTAAACAATAGGCCAAGGCGTGGGTGCCCAGAACAGTGCCCCGGTGCCACATCCTGCCATTCTTCTCACAGACCACACCCTGCCACCCTTCCTGGCTACACCCGATCCTATCTCTAATGTTTACTCAGAGCTGGGAGCTGGACTGGCTGCAGGCTTGGGACAAAGCTTTCCTGCGAGTCCCTCTCACCCTTTCCAGCCTCTGTGAGCCCTGGGGGGTATCAGATCCAGGGCACGGCCGGTCTGGTCTAGCCCAGCTCAGGGGGGCCACAGCCAACACTCCCTCGGCTGTTTCCAGGCTGGTCAGGGTGGCATTCACCTGGTAGAGTGGCCAACATCAGACAGAGGCTGGGTCAACTCCCAAGCATGGGAGAAGAGGCACTTCCCCACAGCACCTCAGGTACAGAATCACAGTCCAGCCTGAGCTTCTGTGGCTGCCGGGACTCAGCTGACCCTGGCCCAAGGGCACAAAGGAAAACAGTGGCCAGGGAGAGACTGTAGCTGTGATGTTCCCACCTGGTCCTCAGGCCTCAGAGGCACCTGAGTCTTCTCCCAACCCAGTGAGTGGGTCGAGAAAGAGACAGATGGGACTGCTTGAAAGCGCCATTGAGGCTCCCAGTGTGATGTGTGCCTCCAGAAGGTCCCAAACCGAGAAGAGGTCAACAGTGTCTCTAGGAGGCCCTTCTCTGGAGGCCTTCCTGCCTCTAGAACCCAAGCCTGTCTCCAGGTTCTCCTGCACCCCAACAGTGCTAGAAGGCAGGGGTAGGCCTCATCCTTGTTTCCCAATGGCAAGGCCAAGCCTGTGTCCTGGACAGGTGAGCACATCTGGCTTCCTGCAGGGACAGTGCCCAGCCTAGGGCTGGGAGATGCAGAAATTGTGCAGCTGAGGCTGACTGGCCATGTCAAAGGCCCCTTGGGGGATAGCCCTGAATACTGACCAAAGGAATGGGAGGCAAAAAGCAAGCATGCAATGCTACAGCACTTACTTGGCTGCAAGCACTAAGTGAAAGGCTCTTCATTCACATTCCTGCTTAATCCTCACAAGAACACTACAAAGACTAAGGCTCGGGGGCTAGAACGTCCTACTGAGGGCCCAGCAGAAGTAGCATTTGAACTCAGGCCTCGCTGATGTCTAAATCCACATCCTTTCATTTATCAGCTGATGCCCTGGCCACTCTCCTCGGTGCAAAATAACAGGCTCTGGTCCAGCAGAGATAGAATGGCCACTGTCTTCACCTCTTACAGGATTGCAGTTGTTTCTGACTTGAGTCATAGCCAAGGAAAACTTAGTCAAAAGAAACCCAGGCAGCTCTGGCAAGTTGGGGGAAAGACTTCACCTCTCAAAACCCCCATTTCTTCATGTGTAAAATAGAGATTCCAAGAACTATTTTGTGAGTAAGAGATAAGGTATAATTACAGAATCTGGTACAGAATATATGTTCAGGGAAGGAGGTAAGGAGAAAGAGCCCTAAAGCAGGAAGGAGTCCCTCTCCCTCCCTGCCCCCAGGGCAAGGGGGAGAAGGACTCACACCCTATTCTCCTCCCCAGCCAGCCCAGCTCTTCCGGAGGCAGGTGGGTGGGTGTGATGACCCAGCATTGCTGGGAGGCATCCTGGTGTGGCTAATGGAAAAAGGACTTTGTCACATGGACCTGTGTCTGAAGACTGGCTCTATTATATACCACTAGATGTGTGGCCATGGGGAAGTTTCAGTTTCTCTATCTCTAAAATGGGAACAAATAACACCTACCCCATAGAGATAGAGAAGACTGAATATGATGGTGTTTGTGAAAATCAAAAAAATGTTTGCTCCCTGACCCACCGCCACCCCCTTCCCCCACATGGTCAAACAAGCAGAAGACATGCACCTGCAGAACACCAGGGCCCGCCACCCTCTTCCTCCTCCATCTGCTCCATGTAGGTCTCCCTCCCTAGCCTAGGTTATCAGTTTTCTGAATGCCCTGTTGATGTCCCCAACCACCCTGGAAGCCCCAGCAGGTGCCCCACAGTGCAAACAGGCGGAAAGGCTACAAATCTGCCAAGGAAGCCCCACATTCGCAGCGCCACCGCTTATCTGGCCAAGCCACGGTGCCTTCCCTTCCCCGGCTGATGACACAAAAGCTCTGCAGAACTCATGAGCTCCCTCATTTCCTCTGGAGCCCACAAGGGTGAAGTGCTATATCATTAACCCTTGCGTTCTCCTGCCAACCCCAGAGGGAGAGGAAGGTGGGGACCATAGGGATGACTACAGACAGCGGAAAGGACAAGCGCAACTAGTCTGCAAACAGCCATGTTTACCCGCCAGGCTGATGAAATCTCACCTTTGC
Organism: Homo sapiens; assembly: GCF_000001405.40. Classification (NCBI taxonomy): domain Eukaryota; kingdom Metazoa; phylum Chordata; class Mammalia; order Primates; family Hominidae; genus Homo; species Homo sapiens. The sequence goes on along the minus strand of NC_000001.11, from coordinate 204,102,202 downwards.
CAAACACTCCTTCTCCCAGTACTGGGGTGGGCTGGGCATTATCGGCTTTTGCTTTGTGACAAGTCTAAGCCATGTAGACTAAGCCCTCATAGTACATGGTGAAATGAGGCTCTGGGAGACACGCAGCATTGGTTCAAACCCAGCATCCGTCTTAACTAGCCAACTAGTTTAACTCTCTCAGCCTCACCATGTTGCCCAGGCTGGTCCTGAACTCCTGGGCTCAAATGACCCTCCTGCCTTTATCTGTAACTGGGGCAAATAGTAATATATACTCACTAGTGGGGTTTCAAAGAGTAAACGAGATAACACAGGCAAAGCCCAGTGCCTGGCACACAGCCGTGATGAACAACTGTAATGGGCATTTTACCATTGTCATCTAGATTAGGAGGTGAAGGGTGGAAAATTGGGAAGCAGCTGGGCTCTAGGTAGCCCAGTGAATACTTGAGACTTAACCTCTTTACACCTCAGATTCATTGTCTGAAATGGGGGCTAACAATACCTACCTCTTATGCTTGCTAGAGAACTGATAAGTTATTATATAGAAAATACTTAGCCCAATGCCTGGCACAAAGCAGATTGGCACTTAGTATTGTGGTGGCTGAATGAAGGACTGTGTTTCCAGGAAACCTCTACCAGCCAGACCACTCAGCCCCAAACCAGTATGTTTCCAAGGCCTCCTGCCACTTTTTTTTTTTTTTAAATAAAGAGGGAATCTCGCTATGTTGCCCAGGCTGGTTTGAACAGCTGGGCTCACGTGATCCTCCTGTCTCAGCCTCCCAAAATGCTAGGATTATAGGTGTTAGCCACCGCGCCCAGCCATCTAAGGCCCTTCTTAAATGCATTTCAAATATCAGCCTCTACCCATCTGTGAGCCCACAGCCCACTCCCAAAGTGGGCACTTCCACACAGCATCCTGGGATCCCAAGGGCTCAGGAAAGGTTTCTCTCCCCTTCCCACCTCAGGCACCCAACTCATTGCAGAGGCAGGAGAAATGGGTCCACGATCCAGATGGGTAAGTGGTACAAGAAAGGAAGAGAAGTCAGTAAATTTCATTCACCCAGAAAGCCACCAGGCAGTGTTGACAGGAGCACAGCCTTGAATGCAAACAGTCAGCAAACAACTTTGGCCTCCTCCTCTCCTCCCTGGGATTGTCTCCCTAACACTCCAGAAAAAATATATACCTTGACAGAAGGTCTAGGGGCTCCCTAAGAGATTCAAGCATCCAGCTCCCAGCTTGGCCAGCCCTTGAGGAGGTGAGCAGCAGCTCTATGATCATGGCAGCCAAGGCTCTAGGCCAGACTGGCACACCGGCCTCCCGTTGGCACAGCCCGCTTAAGCCTAAGGTGTCCCCCATCCCAGGGGTTCTTGGTGGAATGACACTCATGCCTCATGTAAGCCTAATCACCACCAGCTCCCCTAACACAGGCTCGCTCATCGGACACCCCAGTTTAGCAGCTCTTCCTCAGGCAGCATTCATTCTTCCAGTGAACAACGCGTTCCGTTCTTTTTCTCTCCAAAGGCTGCGTTTCCTCTCCCATTATCTACCCTATCGTCAGCCAAGCCCGCCACTAAAGCAAGTTTTCTTTTTCGATTTTGTTATTTCATGGTCCTCTTTATTTATGGGTGGCTGTTTGTTTTTCCTGGCTTTGGCGCCTTTTCAATAAGGGCAGGGAAGGAAGGGGAGAAGCAGCTTAATCTACTATAATGCTCATCAAACAATCCCCAAAGCAGCCAGCTTTCACCCCAATCTGCCCAGCACCCCGCTTTCCATCACCAGCACCCTTTGGAAACTGAGGCAGGACCACATCAACCAAGACTTGGCAAAGGGGTAAGATGAAATACAACCCAGGAAGGGATCCTGACACGTGGAACCCACAATACTAATAATAGTAATGAATAATGGTGACATTCAAGACTATTTAGCAAGGGAGTCATGGGCACTGACCAATCCACTGAGGCTCTTGGGACAATCAGATGAATTGGCAGTTGCCAGCCACAAACAACTGGCTGAGTCACACTAGTATGTGGTGAAAGACCCCAATTATGGCTAACTTTACTTTTTAGAGATGGGGTCTCACTCTGTCACCCAGGCTGGAGTACAGTGGCACAATCACAGCTCACTACAGCCTCTCAACCTCCCAGCCTCAAGCAATCCTCCCACCTCAGCCTCACAAGTAGCTGGAACTACAGGTGCATGCCACCATGCCCAGCTAATTCATTTTTTATAGTGACAGGGTCTTGCTATGTTGCCCAGACTGGTCTTGAACTCCTGGCCTCAAGCTATCCTCCTGCCTTGGCCTCCCAAAATGCTGAGGTTATAGGCATAAGCCACCATGCCCAGCCTATGGCTAACGTTTATTGAGCATTTACTATGTGCCAAGCACTGTTCGAATCACTTTTACTTATATTAATTCATTTAATCTTCATAATAATCATCTGAAGTAGATCATATTATCATCTCCACTTTACAGATGAAAAACCTGAGATGCCGACTGGGCGCAGTGGCACACACTTGTAATCCCAGCACTTTGGGAGGCCGAAGTGGGAGGACTGCTTGAGCCCAGGAGTTCAAGACCAGCCTGGGCAACATGATGAAACTCCATCTCAACAAAAAATACAAAAATTTGCCAGGTGTGGTGAGGCATGCCTGTAGCCCAAGCTACTCGGGAGGATGGCTTGAGCACAGGAGGTTGGGGCTGCAGTGAGCCATGATCATGCCACTGCACTTCAGCCTGAGCTACAGAGACCCTGTCTCAAAAAAAAAAAAAAAAAAAAAAAGCCAGAAAAAGACACTGAGACACCAACATGATTTGAGCCCAGGCAGTCTAGCATCAGAATCCACCTCTCAGTCAGACCATAGGAATCAACTACTTACATGCTAAGCATAATCTATAAGGATTTAGCCTTTTAATTCCTTCATTAGTCCTGTGAAATAGCTACTATGAGGACACAGAGGCCTAAGGAGGCTAAGCCATTGCCCAAGGTCATAGCCAGTGAGTAGTGACCAAGAAACTGAACCCAGAGACTGGCTAATGAGTCTCTTCTTTTAAGTGTTGGATTATACTGGCTTCTCTTCTACTAGTCAGAGGTCCCAAGAGCCATGGAAGTTTATCTCCTGGAAACCCCACTGTCCCACCTCTGCTGGGCCAGTGCTGCTCCCACAATGGAAGTCAAGGGAACCAGGCCCTTGGCCCTGGTACGGATGATGCAAGGGAAGTAATAGTCAACCTGGGGCAGGAAAACCCCTGGTTTCACAGGCTACAAGCTTCGCTCACTCCTGCCAGCTATGCCAAGGGACCAGGTGAACATGGGTGAAGAGCTCAATGGAGCCTGCCTGCGCCACTTGCAGAGACAAGGTGACTCAAGGCCAGAGTCCTACCCACGGTATCTTCCCCATGAATGAGGCTTCTCATGAACAAAGGCAGCATTCTGGAGGGCTCCAGGCTGCCCAGACCCTGACTCCCCTTACATTCATCACCCCTCTGTGTTCTGGCCAGTCCTCCCCACCACCTAACCCCACACCTCCCTGTTAGCTTCGCATTCATTCCTGAACTTTCAATAGCATCAAGCAGAGCTGAGTGTTCAGTAGACCCTGGCAACACATATGCCTAATGAATAGTCGTAGTCACTCTTATTTTATCAGTTTTTTCCTAAATATAAAAGGAGTGTGTGCTTACTGTAGAAAATCAGCAACAACAACAACAACAACAACAAAATTTTTTTTTTTTTTGAGTCTCGCTCTGTCACCCAGGCTGGAGTGCAGTGGCACCATCTCAGCTCACTACAACTTCTCTGCCTCCCCGGTTCAAGCAATTCTCCTGCCTCAGCCTCCCGAGTAGCTGGGATTACAGGCATGCGCCTCCACGCCCGGCTAATTTTGTATTTTTAGTAGAGATGGGGTTTCTCCATGTTGGTCAGGCTAGTTTCGAACTCCTGACCTCAGGTGATCTGCCCGCCTTGGCCTCCCAAGGTGCTGGGATTACAGGCATGAGCCACCGTGTTCAGCCAATCTGCAAAATTTTAAATAACATAAAGAAAACAGGTTGGGCGATGGTGACTCACATCTGTAATCCCAGCACTTTGGAAGGTCGAGGTGGGTGGATTGCTTGAGTTCAGGAGTTTGAGATCAGCCTAGGCAACATGGTGAAATCCCATCTCCACAAAAAATATGAAAAAATTAGCCAGGTGTGGTGGCACACACCTGTAGTCCCAGCTACTAAGGAGGCTGAGATGAGAGGATCACTTGAGGTTGAGGCTGCAGTGAGCCATGATCACACCACTGCACTCCAGCCTGGGCAACAGAGCAACACCCTATCTCAAAAAATAAATTTAAATTAAAATTTAAAAATAAGAAAACAATTTTAAAAATCACCCATTTCACATCCATCCAGGAGGTGGCCATTGACAACAATTTGGCCTATTTCTATCAAATCTTTTTTTCTGAAGGTGGTTTTGTTTTTCATTCATAAGCAAGTTTTTTTTTCTTTTCTTTTCTTTTTTTTTTTTTTTGAGACGGAGTTTCGCTTTTGTTGCATTCAGGCTGGAATGCAATGGCGCAATCTCGGCTCACTGCAACCTCTACCTCCCGGGTTCAAGTGATTCTCCTGCCTCAGCCTCCCGAGTAGCTGGGATTACAGGCATGCGCCACCACGCCCAGCTAATTTTGTATTTTTAGTAGAGACAGGGTTTCTCCATGTTGGTCAGGCTGGTCTCAAACTCCCGACCTCAGGTGATCCACCCACCTCGGCCTCCCAAAGTGCTGGGATTACAGGAATAAGCCACTGAGCCCGGCCTCATAAGCAAGTTTTTATATTTATTTTCTCCCACTTAATAGTACACATCAGCAGTTTTCATGTTACCAAAAACTGGATATTAAAAATTATTCATAAAGCCATATTTAATGGCTGCACATCTTCCACTCTATGGCTGCATCATGATTTCCTTTATCCCCATGCCCCGTGGTTGAAATGATTCAACTCTTCCAATTTCACATTACTGAAACCTCCTCCTGACCCCTAGGGACATCCACCCTCCCAACACCTCTGCCAGGTCACAGCCACTCTGCTGCTGTGACAGGAGGGAAGGCAGGGCCCCTAACAGTCAGTGGACCTCGCCCCTGCCCTCTCTTGATGGACTGGAGACAAAGGGGTTTAGGACAGAGAATGGAAGCCAGGATGGGGCTAGAAAGCCTGGGCCCAAGGGGCTCTGCAATGCAGAGGCACGTATCAGTGTTTCTCAGGCCTTGACTTCCCCCTTAAAAGATAAAAAGCACAGTGGATTTTCACTTCATACCCAAGAGGATGGCTATTATCAAAAAAAGAAGGAGAAAGAAGAAGAAAAAGAGAAGAAAGAGGAGGAGGAGAATTGGCAAGGATGTAGAGAATTTCTGATGGGAATGTAAAATGAAAAGTGGTATAGCTGCTGTGAAAAACAGATAGAAGCCTGGGCAACATGGAAAAACCTCATCTCTACAGAAAATACAAAAATTAGCTGGGCATGGTGGCTCATGCATATAATCCCAGCACTTTGGGAGTCTGAGGTGGGTGGATCACAAGGTCAGGAGTTCGAGTCCAGCCTGGCCAACATGGTGAAACCCCATCTCTACTAAAAATACAAAAATTAGCCAGGTGTGGTGGCGGGTGCCTGTAAACCCAGCTACTTGGGAGACTGATGCATGAGAATTGCTTGAGCCCACGAGATGGAGGCTGCAGTGAGCCGACAACCCACCACTGTACTCTAACCTGGGCGACAGAGCAAGACTCTGTCTCAAAAATAAATAAATAAATAAATACAAAAATCAGCTGGGCATGGTGGCATACACTGTGGTCTCAGCTACTTGGGAGGCTGAGGTGGGAGGATCGCTTGAGCCCAGGAGGTTGATGCCGCAGTGAGCTGTGATCATGCCACTGTACTCCAGCCTGGGAGACAGAGTGAGACCCTGTCGCAAAAAAAAAAAAAAAAAACGAAAGAAAGAAAAAGAAAAGAAAAGAAAAATATGATGGCGGGTCCTCAAGAAATTAGATATAGAATTACCATATGATCCAGCAATTCCACTTCTGGGGATATACCCCCAAAACTCATAGCAATATTACTCACAACAACCAAAATGGGAAACAACTCAAGTGTCCATCAATGGATGAATGAATCAACAAAGTATGATATATACATGCAATGGAATATCATCAGCCCTAAGCTGGAAGGCAATCTTGACACATCTACGATGTAGACAAATATTGAAGACATTATGTTAACTGAAATAAGCCAGGCATAAAAGGTCAAATATTGTATGTGTCTACTTATGTGAGGTACTTAGAACAGCTAAATTCATAGAGACAGAAAGTAGAATAGAGTTACAGGGCTGGAGTGAGAGAGGAAGGGGACGCTATTGCTTAATGGGAACAGAGTTTCAGTTTGGGAAGATGAAAAAGTTCCATGGACAGATGGTGGTGATGGTTGCAAAACAATGTGAATGGACTTAATGCCTCTGAACTACACATTTACAAATTGTAAATTTTACATTATGTCTACTTTAATCCAATTTTTTAAAAGATGGAGAGAACAAAAAACTGCTAATAAGTTATGCTTTCAGGGCATCTTTAATCTGCAGATGGACAGAGGCGAGACCATAAACATAGCCTCACTGACTGGTGAGGGGACAACATGGGGGCAGCAGGGCTGGAGAGCGGCTGCCTTGGGAGAGCCTGTGTTCACAAGGCCATAATTAACATCCCTAATTGAAGTGTCTAGAAGCAGCAAGACCCAGACAGTGCCAGACCTGCCCGACCAACTAGAAGGCCTTCCCTCACTGCCTCTAGAAACAATTAAAGGCTTCCATGCGCAACCCAGAGACAAGGTGTATTTAGGATTTCTCAGCAGGGAGTTCAAGGGACCCAGACGACAAGAAGATGGGGATAGAGAAAGAGATTTAGTCTTCCCCTAAAATCAGTTCCTCGACTTTCCTGGAAATCCTTTCCCCTCGGATGTCCATCTTAGAGTTGGCGGTTTCAAGGCAACTGAACTGACGCCTGTTTACAGAACAGCTCTGCCCCTGCCTTGCCGTACAACCCTGGGAGACTTACTGTACGGCTCAGGGCCGTGGAAGGAGGTTTACTCCTGATGCCCTCCCCGCCTGGAGAGGACACAGCACAATGGTCCAGACTGAAGCTCTAAACCAGAAGGTCTGCGCTCATAGAAGGGAGTGGCAGGACGGGGGCCACTTGGGAAGAGGAAGAGGAACTGGGCAGCCTTCCCAGTTTGCAGGGACTCATCCATTTGAGGTCACAGATGCTGGCTTCTGTGGGCCACCCAAGCCATCCTTTTCCTTTTCAATGAATGAATGACAGGCAAGCCCCAAAATCCCACTAGCCCTAAGGTTCATTTGATGCTTCCATTTTCTGATTTGGTGCTTTACTGGCAAAAATTATCCCAGTTCCCACTTAACCAACAACACATCACAGGGTTTGCTGTGTCTACAGGAGCTGCCCGTGCTCCACGGTGTGATTAAGAGTGCAGGAAGAGCTGATGGCAGCCCGCCCCAAGGGAGCCTTGGGGATTTTCTATGGAGACTGAAAAAGCCACCGGCATCTTTGTTCATCTCTGTCCAAAGAGGGAGACAGATGAGCATCCCTTCCTGGCCCTCTCTCTGCCCGCATTGGGCCATTAGAGCTCCCTGCAGTGCTTCCCTTCCCCCACTGCCTGCAGTCCTGACCCGAGGGAAGGGGGTCAACAATGGGGTCACTGAAGGTGCCCAGCTCAAAACCAGCTCTGTTGCTTAGGAAGAATTTAACCCTGTCCCTGCTGGCTCATGACTCTCCACCTTCACAGATCTACCTGTATGGAGGGGAAAAAATAATTGCAGAGAGGGTCTAGAAGGGCCCAGGTGAGAGGTCTGCGTGTGCGGTGGAAAGAGCAGAGGGCTCGAGTTTGAGCGTCAACTCTGCCACAAACTCAATGTACAATCTTGGGCTCATCTAAGTTCTCTGAGTCTCATCGTTCCCATCCGTAAACTGGCAGTCAAAATACATGTACCAGATCCCTAGGAGACTCGGCACAGTTATTTTCTAAATGTCAACACCCTTTACACACTTGATGGTTTATAAAGCCCCATACATGTGTAAGGGATTTTGATGCCTTTAACTCACTATGGGGCCTGGGACAAACCACTCAACCTTTCAGGTCTCAGTTTTTCCATTTGCACATGGAGTGAATTATTACTTCTTCTCTGAGAGACAAAAGTATAGGCAGGGGAGGGCTCCCAGGCCTTTGATGCAGTGGAAATAATAGTGTTGCTAAGCTTCTGATTTCCATGTTCGAGTTGTAGCCCAGGGCAGGTCACATATGGAAGCCCCTCATCAGAAAGATAATGACAGTGCCTATTTACTGAGTGATCACAAGCTAAGCACTTCACAGGTGGATTTTCTTCAGGGACAAAACTCATTGTACAGATGAGGAAACTGAGGCTTACTTGAAGACAGAATTCCACTTTCGGTATGCCTGATTCCAAAGTTCCAAACCATAGCACAAGA